>NC_000013.11:94131766-94434797 GCF_000001405.40 Homo sapiens
CTCTCAAAGACGTAAAATAAGATATAACTTGCCTTCTTCAAATGGTGGGCCTAAGGATGAGGGTAGCTAATACAAATGAAAGGGTTTTAAAAATAATTTATGTGGTTAGCAAAAATGCTATACAAGAAAAGAAAAATAAAGGATTTCATAGTCAAATAGTTTAGGAAATCTTAGATTATTGTGCACATGAGGCAGAGAGAGAAATAATGACAGATTTCTCAGACACTTCAGTAAAGAGAGAATAGATTCTGCCTGTTACCTCGTTTGACCTTGGAACCCTCCCTGGCTCCATTTCCTGTCACACATCTGGAGAACACTGGTGGAGAAAGGTGATTCCAGAGCGCACGGAGGCCATGATGGTTTTTCACGTAGGGTGTTAAAGAGCGAGGTACAGAAGACTCAATGGAGCAAAGCTACCACAGAATTGATGGCACTAATAACTTCTTGAGGGTGATTCTAGCTGAGTGTTTCCTGCTTGTTTCTTATAAATGTATTTGGTACAGGATCAGTGTAGTTATATTTCCCTGAAGCTATTTCTTACACACGATGGCTTCAGCAGGTTTGAGGCCAAAATGCCATAGGAATGCACATGCCTTCCTCAGATTTTGCCTCTCCATTTTGAATGTATGCAAGTCTTGAAAATCCTCGTTATTGGGACCCTTCTGACCCCTGACCACAGCCTTGTGGTCTGACAGACGCTGTAGCCTCATGGAACAGGGCATTTTCTCCACCTGTGGACTTGTTTTCTGTATTCCTAAAGGGAAGAAAATAAAGAATCCTCAAGATCTCTTCCTTGTTCAAAAATATGGGCCAAATAATAGTACAACATTCCCTCCCCAGCCTCCTGGGTCTTTAATAGTTGCCCTCACCTCCCTCATCTAAATTAGTCATTAAAGACTAGAGCATTATCTCCAAGAAGCCTATATGAAAGGCACAGCATTTAACTGGCATGAAGGCCATTTTATCTCTCTCCTAGGTATTGATTAGTTTCTCAGATTAGATCACGGTCACGGAGTCAGATGCTGAAATAGGATCCACCAAATACCGCCTCAGGACCCAGCCCATGGATAGACTTCCTAAAGTTAAAAGACGATTTCAGAGTTAGTCTAGCATTTAATAAGTATAGTAGACAGTATACATTAGAAGACAATTGCAAAAAATAAAAAATTATAAGGCTCCAGATATATTAATGTTTTGTTTTTTAGGTTTTATCAGATTTTGATGTTCCTGTATGGCCATTGTAAAATCTACTGACAACTTGAAAGCATGTCTAGCTTCTGAAATATTATTCCTATGGAATGTTGATTCTCATTCTGGGAAGAAGAGCAGTCTTTTCTGTCATTCACTCAGAAGATAGTTATTGAGTATTTACGATGGTCAGGTGCTGCACTAAGAAAAAAGATAGAAACAAGAATTAGACAACGACTATATGACTCTGTCTCGATTCCCATGTTTGTGAACCAGCAAGTACATGCCCACCATACAGGTACTGACCAGTGACAAAAAAAAAAAAAAAAAAAAAAAAACCTTAAGTGCTTTTAAAACACATGGCTCTAAATAAAATAAAATTCTAACTCTTAAAATATAAGATGTGAAATAGCAAATTATAAAAAGTACAGCCACAATATAATGACTTAAAAACTTCCCACTTAAAAAATAAAAAATCAAATTAAAAAATCAGAACAAACAGGGAATGTATTCATTTTATATTATACAAGATATCTTGGCAGAACTTAATAACTGAAGACCTCTGTTTCCCTTTGCAAAATGAAAATAGAGAGCATAGGGTAAATAAGAGCACTGAGAAATTCAGCTTTCCAGGTATGATTTCACCATCCAGGGCTTTACTTTTTTTCACATTGTGGGTATGTGCCCTTCCATGAATATAACTTGGAAGTGGAGAGGATGAGAAAGTGAATTTAGTATGCCTAAAAAGAACACAACAGCATTTTTTTTTTTTTGGTCTCAGCTGAATGTTCAACTCATTAAAAGAACAAGAAACATTTCATGGATTACTGATAGCAGTACCTCTGTCACAGACAGGAGGCCAGATTTGAGCCATAAATGGAGCCATTGTGTGCAATAACAAAGGTGAGATATTCATCCTCAAAACTGATCCACCTCCTGCCAAAGACAGGTACACACAATGAATACACAAAAACAGCCTAGTTTTTTTCAGAGAGCCACACTAAAAAACAAGTTATTAGGACATTAATCATCAGTTGAAAACAACATTCCAGAAGAAAACAGCAAAATCAACAAAAATATGTGTACTGCTGATATGCTTGCAAAGCTCAACACACCCTACAATGAGGTTAAACGCTAATATTTCTGAAACTAATCTGTGATTTCTTTTTCATTATCATAAAGGCAGTGACAAATTGGAAATGGTTGAATTCATATTCTCACCTTTGAATGCTGAATTACTAAATTTAGTTAAAGGCTGTGAGCATTAGACAGAGCCTTAATGATTGGGCATTATCACCACTTCAGCCCATGAATGGGGAGTAGGGGCCTAGAAAACCTAATTAATGGCAGTGCCAGAAGATAACACAGACCCCTGCTCCAAGTTCAGCATTGTCTCCTTTACACTGTACTATTCTGTCTCTTGAACCAAATAGATCCTAGGAAGGGCCACATTTCCAGAATTTGGCAACTGCCTGGAAATTTAGATCCCCCAGAAGAATGTGTCCCCCTCATGCTAAATGCCTCAGTTTTGCCTATTAAAGTATTTTATTTATTCTTTAGAACACTTTATGCTCATAAACGTGCCCATTAGTTTTACAAATTACCACATTACTCATAAATGAGGTGTCCTCCTAATATAGCACATAACTTATTGTTGCATTTTATTGGACCATTTATAATAAAATTATGGAATGTGTTAAATAACCCTTAGAGAAAAAACATATTCATCATCTTAGCAGAGACCTAAGTATTGCATTTTTTCTAAGGTCTTTGTAGGGAATCTATATGCAGAATATCATACTATTCCTCTAAGAGGACTTTCGGGTTTCTATTTAAGGTCACTCCTCCCATCCTTTTCACTAGATTTCCTATAAAAGTCTAAGTCACCTGTAATGCTCTTATTTTCACAATCTGAAGACAAATGATTTACTTCTTCTAAATCACATAAGATCTATTTGTTGTTTAAGTTAGCAATTAAAGTTCAGCAGCAAAGTCTGAAATCACCTCTTCTCCTTGTCACCCACTCGTAACAGAAACATTGGCACTAACACATGTGACCTTCAGAATAGCCGTTGCCTCTCATAAAATCTAACAGTGTTTTCTTCAGAAATAAGGACTACGAAGCCACAGACCTCAAGTCCCTTTGAGACTCATTGACATAGTACTTATCTAGCTGAAACCAAGGGTGCCCTAATCACAGGACACCTACAAAATTTCCTTTCTTTCTTTTTAGCATTTACAGACATGGGCTACCGGAGCTGTATTACAGATTAGCTTTATCTAATGTAAGCTAGTATGCAAAAAAAAAAAAAAAAGTTAAGGCAGACTGAATTAATTATATCTGAGATTTGACTTACACATTAGATGATTAAATATGTGCATTTGAAAAAAAAGTCCCTGAAGGTAATCTTGTTACTTTAAATAATTGTCCAGGGCCTTTTGGCTAAAGTGACTTTCCCCATGTAGCTTGCTTGTGTTATCTTAATTTTTCAGTGTCTTAATTTTGCATTTTCTTTATGGCTCTACTTTCAATTTAATTCAGAAGCATTTATTGAGAGCCAAATGGGCAGAGAACAGTGCTAGAACCTGCAGGGGAATGGAAAGTTGAAAAGTCATGACCCACCCACCCGTCAGGGTTGTCTCTGTCATGTAGGACATAAATCCACATGGCTAATGCATCAGCCATTACACCAATAACTCCAGTCCAAATCCAGATTACCAGTACCTATTTTTTATTATAAAGGGAATTTATCGAATCACTACTGAATTAGCAAGAATCAATAAATTAGGAAAAAGAAGCCCTTGCTTGCAGCATAGCATGAAACTAAGACAAACAGCTCATCTCCAACGCAAGGTGGTTAAGCACTGAGCCACCACTGGCCAGGGATGCCACAGAAACCCAGGAAAGGAGCTTAGGGCCCTCAGAAAGAGTTGATTTTTGAGTTAGATCCTGAAAAATTACAAGTTAGCTGGACAAAGAAGTTAAGCAGCTTCCAGGCAGAAGAATAGCACCTCTCAGCCTGCAGATCTTCCTAGTTTTTTGACTATCATTGAGAAATCAAATTTCAAAAATCATTTAGGAAATGGATAAAAGGTAACCAAATTGTATTGTCATTTCCAAATAAGCAATTAGTTTCATGATTTCTTAAAGCAAAGGATTAACACCAGAATGTAGAAAAGGGAATAATCTTAGAATAAAGGACAATTCTTTAACTTGAATAAGTTTAGCATCTTTTTTTTTTTTTTTTTCTTCATTTCACTTCACTGGCAATCCTTTTCATACCTAGTACTAATTACTGGACCGACTTCTGTGAACTACTGATTGGAAAATAGAGTCTTTGGGGGAGCTGCAAGCAGTTCCTAGAGAATACAGTACAAGAGAGTGGCGATAAGAGGCCAGGCATGGCGATAAGAAGGGTGTGCATGGACTGGATATGAAGGACCTTGAATGCTGTGTTAAGAAGTTTGTTCTTTTGCTGGGCGCGGTGGCTCACGCCTGTGATCCCAGCACTTTGGGAGGCCGAGGCAGGCAGATCACGAGGTCAGGAGATCGAGACCATCCTGGCTAACATGGTGAAACCCTGTCTCTACTAAAAATACAAAAAATTAGTTGGGTATGGTGGTGGGTGCCTGTAGTCCCAGCCACTCGGGAGGCTGAGGCAGGAGAATGGCGTGAACCCGGGAAGCAGAGCTTGCAGTGAGCCAAGATCTTGCCACTGCACTCCAGCCTGGGCGACAGAGCGAGACTCCATCTCAAAAAAAGAAAAAGAAGAAGTTTGTTCTTTTTAATTCTAAATGCAGTGTAGAGTGATTGAAGGAATTTTAAAAGGGAATGCACCATGAGATTGTGTTTCAGAATGATTATCAGGACAACAGTTTGGGAAATTAAGAAAACACTAACTTTGCAGATAGGGAGAAAATAGGAAGAGATTAACAGATTCAAGGCAAGAAATGGTAGTGGCCATAGTGGGCGAGTAAAGATGGTAGGAAGTATAGACATTTGAGAGATTTCAGGAGTTTACATCAGTAAGACTCAATGACTGATTGGATTTGCGGGCAAAGGAGAAAAGACAAGAATAATGGAAGATATCCTAAATTTCTGACTTTCACAATAAAATTAATAGGTGGCAGTGTCTCAATTATTTCTAGTTGATCAATTGAAAGAGAACTGAGGAGTTAGAGAAATTTGATTTTAGATCGCTTGTACATGACATATCTGTAGGACATCTTGGAGATAATATCCAGCAATTGAATACATGATTCCAGGGTTTGGGGAAAAGATCTTGGCTAGAGAAATACATTCAGAAGCCAGTAGAGGGGTGATCATTAAAGCCAAAGGAGTGGATAAGCTGTGTGGAGACAATCTATTATTGATGAGAACAGGGCCCAGGGTGAAATTTTGTCCAGCTGGGACATTTAGAAAATAGGCAGGGGATTTGTGACAATTGCTGCAATTGCTATAATTCTAGCAGAGTGCAATGAGGATATAGAGAGGTGAGAGACTCTCAAAGTGATAGGGTCTGAGCTGAGCCTTAAGGAGTGGGATCTGGAACAGGCAACTAAAAGCAAGAAAGACTTTCCAGGCAGAGACAAGGGAAGATGCTTATTTTTTGTTGTTGTTGTTGTTAACAATTATAAACATTTATTAAGCACCAAGAATATACTGTGATGGTTGCTATATGAAAACATAATTATCAATATAGTATCCCTGCCATTGAGCTTACAATCTAAAATGAAATACAATGCTATGAGCCTACCTAAAAACTTCCTTAACTTAGAAATGGCTACTTTGGCAAATGAGCAAGGCAAAATGACCTATTATTCAGGTGCAGTGTTTTAACCTAAAACAGTAGTGCTAGGGGACTTGTTAAGAGCACAGATTGAAAGAAGGGAGGTGGAGGGGCCACATCAGATTTTTAATCTGATAAACTTAGGATAGGCTAGAAATTGCATGTCTAATAAGTTTCTAGGTGATAATGATGCAGTTGGTCCCTGGACAACATTTTGAGAAATACTTTCATTTAAAAACAAGAAGCAAACAAAATCCTCCTTTCCATATTTAAGAGGCATTCTTGAGACCTAATTGTATAGTGTTTGCTAAATATCTACATGTACAGGTTGAGCATCCCAAATATGAAAATCTGAAATATGAAATGCTCCAAAATCTGAAACATTTTGAGTACCAACATAACATTCAAAGGAAAGGCTTATTGGAGCATTTTGGATTTCGGGTTTTCGGATTAGGGATGCTCAACCATTAAGTATAATGCAAATATTCCAAAATCCAGAAAAGTCCAAAATCTGAAACACTTCTGGTTCTAAGCACTTCAGATAAGGGATATTCAAACTGTATTTGCCCTGTCTATATAAACTTTAATAATCACCTCACAGCCCTTGTACCAGATTGCTGAACCAAATTGTTTCATTTATCTTTATATCTCAAAGAACTTCCATTCCTGTAATCGTTCCAGTCGTCTTTATACTTATGATGCTTCATAAATTCCACCTCTTATCATGTTCCAGGAAAGGCATAAACTTTGACCTGGGTGGGATGGTTTGCTTTGTCTTCTTTGAGACACTTTCAAGTACCTTCTTCATCTTTTCAGCCACAAAAGTTTATCATCAACCTCACATACACAGTTAGTTCAGAGCTGATGTTCTTGTCAAGATAGTAAAGCTCATCTGCCATTTTTACGTTTATTGATCTTACCATGTGAAATTTTACTATAAGCTTAAGCCTACTTAAGGTATCATTATTTTTTATTTTCTGGAAGGGCTGAAAACTTGCACTACGGGTAGCACAGCCAGACACCAGCCTGTAACAATGACAATAGCGACAAGGATGGCAGAAGCTCTCCTGTACTGAGTACCTAACAGGTACCCAATAATGTCTGTCATTAGGGGCTGCAGAGATGAAAGACATGTTCCTCATTCTGAATTAAGTCTCCGTCTAGGGCAATGGGCAGGAAACCAGATAACTTACTATATACCGGGATAAGGAATGTGATTATGGTAAGGGAATAGATAGGAGGGGCGCCTGTCCCATTTAGGGAAGAGATCCAGGCAGACAGTTTCCAGGAGATGACACTGGAGCTGACTTTTGAAGATATGGTAGGAGTTAGCTGGGGGAAAAAAAAAAGCATGATGCATTTGCTGGAGAGGGTGATAGACAGGAGATAAGGCTGGGATCAGATGATGAAGGACCCGCAAAACCTGTAAACTAGATAAGGCTAAATCCACATTATGACATGACTCATATGCAGCCAACAATGGTATTTTGTTTGGGTGATAGGTACCCTAAAAGCCCTTACATACACTATGCATGTAACAAAATTATTCTTATACCCCATACATTTATGCAAATAAAAAATACACAACAGTTCAGAAAGGAACTACAAAGAACATACAGGCATAACTATAGTATTTGTCCTGTATTAATATCCAGTTCCCCCACCTTAGGAATTGGAGACCTGTCAGGTAAATGAAGCTAAATAAATATCTCCAGATTGGGGCTCCTTGGATCTCTCATTTCTTCTGTCATCTTGCTTCTGCCTCATCTGCCAAGTATCTTGTAGATCTAGCGCAAATCCATCTAAAGACTTGCCTTTATTGTGATAGCTGAAATGGATCCTATCAAGGTGATGGGAAGTTAGACAGTACCCCACCTGTCTGCAATTGCTCAGACATTTAGCTTTAACCATGGTCCTCATCAGTGCTATTTCCTGTATTCTGGCTGCTGCTTTTGCTCATTTTCTGTTGGACAGAGTTAGGTAATGCTGGTATATGATGAGGTTCATTCTCCTCTGATGATGTTCTGCAAACACAGCTTCTACTGACTAGCAAGACCCCTGCCTGTTTCCTTAGTCATATCTGATCATTCCACCAGCTGTAGCTTCCTGGGGCTACAGTTTAACAACATTGTTTTCTGATTGTTGTTAACATTGACACATAGTAAGAGCTACTGATTTTTTCTATGGAAATGTTTATTTTTTATTTGACCCCTTCCCAGAACCCTCAGGAGAATGTAAAAGAGAATTTATATTTTCATTCATTATATCATCATGAGAAAATTGTTTTTCTTTTTTTTTTTAATAAGCCCATTCAGGTTTATATTTTTCTTTTCCTTTTATCAAATTTTCTTTGAATGTTAAGAGTCTATTATACCGAATAGTATATTACTTCAAGGAATTCAGGAAATAAAAGACAAGCCAAGAAGCAAGTGCAGTACAAACCTTTGAGTGGGACCCCTTTGAATGGTATTTACATAACATAAGATGTAGTACCGCAGGGACTGGAAGTTCCTCTGTGTTCATTAGTGTGTTATGCTACTACAATTTGCATTTAGTTTTAATTTGAATTAGTAAATGTGAATTCTCTCACAATACACTAAACTAGTTTGTGTTTGACACTGGGGGCCTGGATAACCAAAGTTGCATATGCCATGTTTAAAATATGTTTAGAATTGGAACCAGTAGTAAATTGTTAGTGAAAGAAAAAATTATGAAACTCCCATTTGTCTTCCATGAATTGTGTTCTGGGAACTGTTGGAAGCATTCACAAGCAATGGCTCAGTTAATCCTCACAAAAATAGCTGGGAACTGTAATGTCCCTGTCTTACAGATGAGGAAACTTAAATTCAGAGAAATTAAGAATGATGGAGCAGAGCAGGGATTGAAATTTAGACCCGAAGGCACTGTCTTCAGCAATTTTATTCAGAAATGTGGCTCCTTTAACTAGATGGCTGTCTTCCAGGTCATTGTAAACCTCCAGAGGGAAGGATAGAATTAGGCAGAACTCCAAGCTGGCATCGTGGTTTGAGGCTACCAGGAGCAACTTTCATTTCTTTGGATTTTGCTTTCATAAATCAGAGCCATTTTCAAATCTGCCAGTGCCACCTTTGCACATTGTCAAGGGAAAGGACAAATAACAAAGCTAGTAAAAAATCTTTCAAATGATATAATATAAATATATATTTATATTACGGTAATATATAAATAGATGTAGGCATGTGTTAACAGGAAAAATAAGCAAACAAAACAAAAACAAACAAACAAAAGACCTCTTTAAGATATGTAAAGAGGCTTATTCTGAGCCAGTAGGAATGACCATGGCCTGTGGAAACACAGTCTGAAGAGGTCCTGAGAAATTGTCACCAATGTGGGTGAGTTACAGTTTGGTTTTATGCATATCAGGGAGACAGGCGTGCAGGCAAAGATATAAATCAATACATGGAAGGCATGCATTGGTATCGCCCAAAAAGGTAGGATATCTTGAAGCGGGGGCTTATAGGTGGATTCAGAGATTCTTTAATTTGCAGTTGGTTAAAGGAGGAAAGCTTTGTCTAGAAATTTGGAATCAGCAAAAAAGAATGCTTAATATAAGGAAGTCTGTTAACCAATACACTGAGACAGAGTGACTTGTAAGGGTGTGTGACTTAACCCTTGTCTGGCATGGCGTTAGGTCCTGTTTATAACTCGGTCTCTTAGTGTCATGAAGAGTCCATTTCGTTAGTCTGATGATCTCTATTTTAATATTAATGCTGGTCAGTTGTGCCTAAACTCCAAGAAGGAGGTATCATGAGGCATGTCCCACCTCCCTTTCCATCACCACCAAGGACTTCGTTTTTCAGGTTTCTCTGGGGCCCCCTTGACCAAGAGGGGTCCGTTCAGTTGGTGGGGAGCTTCACATTTTAAGTTTACAAATATCTAGTTAATAATTGAAAAATTAAAGCAGAGAAAAGTGACAATAACTTATCCTCTCAAACATGTAAAATGGAGAAAAGAATCAGAATTTTTTTTAACAATGATCTGTTCACTAAGACTCAGTTTCATTGAGAATATGCACTGAATAACCAAAGGAATAGATGTTCAATGCACTCACTGAATAAAGGGGAAGAACCAAACACTCTTTCTAGCATGTTGCCCATTCTGGTGCAGGTTTTAAATTGCAGTTGGAGAATTCTCGTTAGAAACTATTTATTTCCCTTTACTTCCCTCCCTTGTTGGTGTGACCACATGGATGAAAACTGACCTTTTTTTTTTCCGTGTGTGTGTGTGTGATTCTGTATCCTCTTTCTGAAATCTTATTGAATATCCTATTGCCTATACTATCATTCAAAATTAAGTGTTCTAGAACATGTTGCTGTTGCTCTTTTATGGTCAACTCTGGTGGGAATTTAGAATCTGTCCATGTGCCATGTGAAGACGCATTTAAAAGAATACACACCTATATACACGTGTGTAATTGGCTGTTGAGATTTTAAAGAATATATAAAACTTATTATTTTCTTTTGGCCTTGTTTAGTGATAAGAGAGAAAATCCACAAGTTCAGAGGGAGATTTCGAAGTGATGTATCAAAATAGATGACATGATTTAATAGGTAATTTTAATTTAACAGGAAAGTCAGATAGCTTATCACCATACACATACACACATCTTTTGATGACTATGAAAATAGTATACGTTCTAGTAAACCTTTTGGAGGGTTCTGAAAAGTGTGATTAAAACTTTATCCATAATCTCACAATTCAGTTAACACCACTTAATACTTTAGGATTTTCCTTTTTTAAAAACAGTTATTCTGCTTTAAACAGCTAACCCAACTTATATTTAAATGGAGAAGAGAACTTTTTAGCTAAATGTAGCTGAATGGATTTCAAAACAAAACAAAGCAAAACAGCCTTCTTTGAGTTATTGAAACCGGGTGTTGTCTTGCTTTTCCTCCCATACTTAGCTTACAGAATATTATCTATATATAATATACATAGATAGATATAAAATATAGTATTTCCCCAGTCATAACTTGATGTATATTCCCAAAAAATGTATATATAGGAGAGAGATAGAGAGGAACATTTTGGTCGTGGACGGCTACTTTTTTTTTTTTTCTTTTTGAGACTGAGGCTCTCTCTGTCACCAGGCTGGAGTGCAGTGGCACGATCGCGGCTTACAGCAACCTCTGCCTCCTGGGTTCAAGCAATTCTCCCACCTTAGCCTCCCAAGTAGCTGGGACTACAGGCACGTGCCACCACGCCCAGCTAATTTTTGTATTTTTAGTAGAGACGGGTTCACCATGTTGGTCAAGATGGTCTCGATCTCTTGACCTCATGATCCGCCTGCCTCGGCCTCCCAAAGTGCTGGGATTACAGACGTGAGCCACCATGCCCAGCCAGATGGCTGGCTACCTTTTAATGAAAAAAAAAAAGATATATAAAAACAACAAAATATAATTAATATTTCTCATTAGTTTATTTTCAAGATTAGGTGAGATTGTCTCCCTTTGTAGTACTTTGTAGGAAGTTTAGCTGTGTTATTTTTCGTTGGACTTTTTATTACCAGCAAAAAGAGAAATGGTTTAGTGTGAGAGAATCATTCATAGGTTTTATTTCAGTTTTAATTCAGACTTATTTGAAGGTTTTGACAGAGAGTATTTCTATATAGGCAGTGTTATCTTTCCAAAGTATTTGATTTCTAGAATCTAGATTTTTAATATGATAGTCAAAAATCATATTAAATTTTTTGTCACTCTTTAGAATCATGACATTCTTCTCAGATACCTGATTATTAACTTTGTATTATGAAATCAGAAAATGCAGAAAGATGCCATTTATGTGGTTCCCATTCCAGCCTGAAAGAGAGTATAAAGGGATAGCAGCTGGGCACAGTGGCTCATGCCTATAATCCCTGCACTTTGGAGGCCAAGGTGGGTGGATCGTTTGAGCCCACAAGTTTGAAATGAGACTGGGCAACATGGCAAAACCCCATCTTTACAAAAAAATACAAAAATTAGCCAGGCGTGCACCTGTAGTCCCAGCTACCTGGGAGGCTAAGATGGGAGAATTGCTTGAGCAATTCTGAGCCTGGGAAGTCCAGGCTGCAGTTAGCCATGATCACTCCACTACACTCCAGCCTGGGTGACAGTGAGATCTTCTCAAAAATTAATAAATAAATAAAATTATAGCAATTGAAAGTAAGGCTAACTTGATCTGGACATCAGCGATTGTCACGTGGTTTCAACACATTATAGCTTTATAGGCGCATATTTTGTTTTCACTGAAGCGAAGTTGTTAAACGTTTGATTTTGTCCTAATGGTGAAAAGAAGACGTTTCCTGAAGGAGACAGGATTGCATTATCATTACAAAAGTATCCAGCCTCTGTCGCACACTCTTTTTTAATAGCGCTGTTGTCCTATTTGCATATGTAAGAAAAAGACTGAGAGTCACCCAGCAGCAAGCAAGTACCTGTAACCACAGAGGGCAGGGTCTGTAACATCAGGGTTGAAATGGAGACCATATTGTTTTTTAATAAAAGAGTGAACAGTCATTATCTTTTTCCAATTCATGACCCCAAAATATACGCAGTGTGGATTTACTTCCATGAATGGTCCATGATGGCTGCTGTCCATTCGTACAACCTGGCCTCTACTCTTTGCCTCTTAGGTGCTTTTAAAACACACACACACACACACACACACACACACACACACACACCAGAAATGGAACACCCATTTTTCAAGACTAATAATTCCAAGCTTATCTGTTCAGTTCTTAGTTCCTTTGTAGGAAAAGATCATTCTTTGGGAGTGTGTGTGTATGTGTGTGTGTGTGTGTGTGTGTGTGTATAAGACAGAGAGAGAGAGGGATATCTGTGTGCAAACACTAGTTTAACTAAAGGATATACTTTTATTTTACAAAGACTTGTCTAAAATACCTGTTCCTGACATGCAAACAAAAATAGATAATTTGTTCTTTTATTCCTAAATCTATTTAATTTGGTGTAATTCAGAGTGATCTTTGAGGATAGAAAGATAATGCCCAACTGAAGTTAATATTCTTACTGCCTGGAATAAGAATAAAGAATTTTAGCAGTTCTTAAAATATGGAGCAGAGCATTAGAATACCTGCTTTTATGAAAAATTTTATACATTTAAATTTATATAATGAAAATCTTTAGGAACCAGGCCCTAGTTAAACAGGGGAATCAAATATTTATATTACTAAAGTTATTAACAAAACTTTGGAGACCTTATTGCTTATGGGCAAAAGCACAGAGTTTGAAATATTGATTAGAGAGTAAGTTCTTTAGGAGTCCTAGATTTTATTTTTTCTTGCTTACTGCCTAGAGCAATGCCTAGCACCTAGCAAACACTCAACAAATATTTATTAAATGACTGGATGGATGGGTGGATGGATGGATGGATGGATGGATGGATGGATGGACGGATGATGAATGGATGGATGGATAAAATATATTAAAATCTATACTTGGCCATTTACCTAACATTCTATATAAAGCACCTTCTACATGGTAAGACTCATTATTGCATTTGTTGTCATTATTTTTTACATTAGTATAATGTTTTGACTTTATTGAAACTTATCAATTTAGGGTCAAATTATATCCTTATCCATTAGGCCTTTTCCAATAGGCCAATGGTAAAGTGTCCAAATAATTTTATTTTAGAATAAGTAGGAATGTCAGCAGTCATATAGCCTAGCTACTTCAATATATTGATATTTGTTTGGGAATTAAAAACCAAAGAGATTAACTGATTTGCTTAAAGTCTCATATGTGTACCCCCAGAATCTAAAATAAAAGTTGAAAAAGAAAAAAAATGGTAGCATGAGAAGTGTAAGCTTTGTATATATGAGAAGTTATGTCCAGATGATTCTACATTAAGTAACTTACTCATTAATTCAGTAAACTGTTATGACGTGTTCCCATAAATGTGTGAACTTTTCCAAGTATGGGGGAATTCAAAGATGAGCGGACCCTAAGCTCTAGGAGATACTGATTAAAGGAGTCATACTTATAAATAAGTGAATATGTAATTTAACAGAAGGGAACATGTGTTATGGTGAATGTATAAACAAAAGGTTGAGTGAACATGAAGCATGAAGCAACTAACCCAATCTGGAGGTTTGGGTAGAGAAAATCAGTATTAAGCTGCAACTGGACAGGTGACAGGAGGATCAAATGGACTTCTCTGTGTCTGCAATGAAAGAAGTCTGAGCTAAGATTTTATTTAGAACTTATTAAATGCTCATAAAAGGATCAGATGAATAATTTAAATGAGCAAGTAACCAATGACATTCATTCAAAACTGCGTAAACTTATGCAAGAATGCATGTTTTCTGATATTTCTGCTTTGTGGAAGCTCGCAGTGTGATCCATAATCATGTCACATGCTATTTTCACCTTTGATACTGTGAGATCCTTGAAGGTGGAGTCTTCATGTTATCCACCTTTGTATCCTGAACACTCAGCAGGGTGCCTGGTGCATTGTAGATGTGCAATATATGTTGTTCTGAATTGACTTACACCCACCAACCACTATATTAAAAATAGAAAATAAAAGAAAAAAAAACAAGTTGTGTGACTTCCTCTAGACACAGTTGTAATTTACTATCTAGGACAGTCTCACCAATCAAGTATTTATCTCCAGACCTTGAGAAGATAATTTACCTTCAACAATTATTATTAATACCTTTTACCAACTTGGGACTATGGCAAAATTGAACTTATGAAAAATGCCTGTCTTTTTTCATCCTTGGACCAATTATAGCGTTCAAAAACAATCTTTTTCAGGTTTCCAGATAGCAGTGTTTTTCAAATCTCAGGTTGCAAACATTGAATCATTTTATCAATAATGTGCAAGATAGAGACATGTCCAAGGTTACTGAACCAGGATCATAAATCAACTCCTTGATGACATACCTCACAAGATTTAAAAAGAGAGATCATATAACACTTTGCAGATGGAAAGTCCCATACCAGTTGTTGTATATCAAAAGTGATACCAAAAGGCAATTTCTTAGAAATATATTAATTATGTGATTGACCAGATCCGAAAGCATTTAGATAACTTGGGGATAAAATGAGCGTTGATAATTATTTTAACATTACATTCTAGCAATGCATGTTTGAATTTGCTGAATAAAGAAATAGGTTTATATATTTCCACTGTTAACAGAAAAGCAATAAAATACTGCAAGGGAATTTTTCATTTGTTCTTGAAATCTGCTTCTAATGTTCATTTCACTCCCACTAAAGGCAGGTTATTACCTTGGATTTCCTAAAATCAGTGTATGCTTTAAAAGTGAATATTGAGAATTGTGGGTACTACTAAATTTAAAATACAGAATGACCAATGCCAGATGACCCTGACTAAAATAAACTAGAAAATTGAAGTGATTATAAAGATCATTTGCAGGTCAAAAAATAATTTCCCCCTCTTAGCCTCTTAAGTCCTTCATTTTCCTATCTCCTGATTCTGTCTTTCCTATCTCAACTCTCCTTATTTTCTTAATTCTTTGCACATAGAAAGATTTTGCTTTTCCTGTCACCTCTGTTAGATGCATATACGGGTACTCCAAACACCTTGCTTGATAATTTCAGCTTGGCATCATCATTACAGGATGTTAGGCTCTATAGCCTGGGTCAAATCTCAGGGCTACCACTCACTAGCTGAATGAGCTTTAGCAAGTTATCTCAATGCTCTAAGCCTCCATTTTCTCATAAATAAAGTATGAGTTGTAGCATTGTTTTGAAGGTTGAGTAAGATGATGCATATACCATGCTTACCAAACTTAAAATAAGCATAAACTGTTGTTGTTATCATGATTAACCAATGCCTCTTCCTTCTGGTTTAGTGTAAAAAGTGTGGCACACTGAACTGACACTGGACCAAAGATCAGATCACTTACCCTGAGGCCCTGGCTCTGTGACCCTGGGCAAGTCATTTATTCCAGAACTCTGGTTGTCTCATCTGTAAGCTGGGAGGCATAGACAACACTACATTAAAGAGCCCTTCCACATGTGTTCTAAGTGAATACATGCTCCACATTTTTACTCATAACATTCTTGTAGATCACTGGAATTGTACTCATTTATCATAAAAGTTATATAAGATATAGGAAAAAAAGTGGACCCATGAAACCTGGTCATGTGGTCAGAGCCAAAGAGAATCCAGTTTGATGTAAAGTTATTTTACTCAAGTACTCTGTGGCAGGGATTCTGCTGAGGTAGAGTATTTGAGCAGAGCACCTTGAGACCAATGTCACAGAAAATATTCCAGCAAATAATTAATGGTGTGTGTATATATATTGCCAGCTACCCTGCTGGAGCCCAGCAATCTCTCAGAGGAGATTAGTGGTCCTTACCCATGTGTCCAACCATTTCAATACTTGCTTTTCTCAATGATCATTATCCTGAAATAAATCCAAATTAAATTTTATGAACCAGGATTGAAATTATGTGCCTTCAGTATCGAGCCTTCTAATAGCAGTTATTTTTATTGAAGTATTAAAGCAATTGGCTTGAGTCATCTTGGAAACACTGCTTTCATATTTCAAATATGGTTAGGAGGCTGTCAGCACATATTACCAGGGATTGGAGATATTTGCTTATTAAATGATTTTTACCAGGAAAAACTCATTACAGGAAACATCTTGTTTACAAGGGTGTCCTGAGGATAGCAAATGGAAAGAAACATGTTACATTGAATTATAGAAGTAAAATAAGTTGATTCAGCTAATAGATTCAATGGAAATATAAGATATTATTTTGCAAGTCAAAGACAACTGCAATTTAATTTAACTGACAGATTTCTACTGTAGGATGTAAACATTAGATAGAAATATTTACTTGAAACTGTAGCGACCATTACATGTTATTTTGACATTCTAGTTTAGGCATCTATATCCAGTGATTTTTCAAATGTTATTATTATTATTATTATTTGTTTTGCCCATACAAAGAGAAAATAAAGCAGAAGCACTAATGATGTTTGATGGTGGGAAGGATAGAGGAGAGGTTAAGAGAACAAGTTGTCAATGAGATTAGTTTTGAGTTTACTCCCTGGCTTTGTGAACTTTGGGTAGGGATTTAACCTCTTAGAGTTTCAATGACCTCATCTATAAAATGGAGATAAAATATATTTAATGTTTACTGTGTAGTCAATGGAGATGATATGTGAGTGAAACTTAGCATGATGCCTAACACACATACACACACACAAAAATTGAGTAAACAGAAATTTCACTACTTCTAACCATTCAGTTTATGCTTTCAGATCTTAGGACTTGGACTCGGCTTACAGATCCTGGAATTTGCAAAACACATTCCCTTTTTCATGGTCTCTTTTCTACATGCCTGATTTCTCACATTTTTTATGGCAGCTGAAATAGCATTTTAGTCATCTTTGTGTGCCTCCCTTCCCAAATCCATGGACAGTGTAAGTACTGAAAACATTTGGGTAGATGAATGGAAGAAAACAAAATGAACAAAGAGAGCCCCGAAGTCCCCCAAGAGGACACAATGGAGATACCGACTGCAAAGCAGGCATCTGGAATGCCAGCTCAGATGGCCTGCTTGTCCCCAGGAAAAGCTGTGAGAAAGGATATTATTGGCACCAGAAAAGTCTTACTAATGTCAGTAAAGACAGAACTTGGGTCCAAAGCATTCTCTCAGTGTGATGGTGTTCACATATGCCTTGTGTGCCTTTAGAACATAACTTAAGTGCGATAGTATGAACTGCTACAGTCCAAACCTTGTAGAGCATTGAACATCCATGCAGAACAGTTAGAAGAAGAGGGACTTCTGGTGAAACAGAGCCCACAATGAGGGTCAGAATGTCATGAGTAAGTTATCATATTTGGAATCGTGATGTTTCCTAATAAGAGGACCAAGCCCTGTAAGTCTGAGCCTCGATTTTTACTCAGAATCCTAGAGAAAAATGCTTAGTCAGAGGCTAACAAGGTCTTAGCCTCCTTGACCCACAGAGAAGAAATACAGGAAGGGTTAATACATCCCAGTTGGCCAAACCTGCAGAAGCAGTCACCCCCTCCCAGTGTACCTTGTAGTTTGACCATGGCACTTCACACACTTCGCACGTTCTATCTCCTGTTTGACTTTTTTGAGGGTGTTTTCTGTCCACACTAGACTGAATCTCTGAGACTGGAATGGTATCTTCACCATTTTTCTGGTGTCGCATCACTCAGCATGCTGCCCTGTTCCCAGTCACCTCAGGAAAAAAGGTATAGGCCAGGATAACAGGAAGCACATGGAGTTTGGAGTCCCAAACACTCTGTATCATGAACTTCCTTCCCAATCCTCCCAACCAAGCCCTTCTTGGTGCCCCTTATCTCAGAGAACAGTGCCATCTGCCTCTAAGTTGCTCAAGTATTAAAGGCGGATGCATCCAGGTGCCCTCTTCCCTTCCTACACAAATCCAGCCAATCACTTCCAGTCAATCATGTTTCCTTAGCATCTCTGGAACTGGTCCACTTAATTCTATTTGCCTAATTTACCCCACCATCATTTCTTGCCTGTATTATTGCAGCAAGGACTGATATCCTTTTCCCCCCTTGTCCTTCTAGCCCACTCTTCAATTTGCAGCCAGCGTGAGCATTTGCTGTCACAAATCTGACCATCTTTCTCTTTAGTTAGCTTTGAAGTCTCAGCTTTTTAGTGTGTCTTCCAAACCCCTTCTTGTTCTGACTCCTGCTGACCTTCCAGCTTCATTTCTCACCTCAACCTACCTCCTTCCCCAGAAGTACTGGGATATTCTTAGCTCCTTAAATGCAATATACTTTTCTTATTTGATGTCTTTTATCCTCTCCACCTGCAACATTTTTCTTTCTCTGCTCTCTGTCCTCTTTCTTTTTCTTTTTCTCCCTTCTGATAGGAAGCATTCTTTGATATCCACGCTCCTAATAAATGTGGTTTAGCTGCTGCTCTTAAAACTACACTTTGGGACCAGCATGGATTAGGGATATTTTTCCCTAGAAGAAGAGATATCTAAGTTGAAACACAAAGAATAAGTAGGATCAAATGAAGCAGAAAGAGAGAGATCAGCAGTATATATATATATATATGTTTATTGAATGAGTAAATAAACGAATGAAGACAATTTGACAAGAAGCACCTGTAAAGCATATCACTGAGACCTTGGTGTTCTGTTGGTAGCTTCTCTTTCTGAAGGCATAAGGTAAAACTGTCCAAATATAAATTTCCCTCCTAGTTTGCTCACTCTCCAGAAAGCTCTGAGCATTTTGAAATATATTCTTATGATAGCTCATTTTATAACATAAGGAAACTAAAGCTGCCTGGCCTTATGGATGGAGCCACATAGTTATAGATAAGTCAGACACCAAGATAAAGAGCATTTCCATGAAGTGAGGTAGAGGCAGGTGTGGAATCCAAGCTTACTGAATGGTCTAATGCTGACTTTTTTACACCTAGAATACCTTTGTGAAAATGAAATATATCAAGAAATGAGGACATTTAAGGAAGGCAGGCAGCAGAAATATGTATATCAAAAAGCTGAAATAATTGGATGAGCTATTCTCTATGAAAACCACATTTTTATCATAACTGGAAAAGATCTGTTATAAACTGAACAACAGAGAAATGTTAAGACCTTTTATATCTGTCCCCCTTGACACTACACTGAGAGCTATGCTGTTGTTATGTTTTCCGAATCCCTCTGTGGCTTCTCTTGTAAGTGAGCAGGACACTACAGAAGCTGACATGCGAAGGGCCCTGATAAACCAGAATGCTTTTTCCATACAGTAAATTCGAATGGTTATTTGAGCTCAACAGTGTTTTCTCTGGTGTTTGAAAAGCAAAAATAGAAGGATCCACCAAACACTGCAAGTCATGGAAACTATAGACGAATTGGGTGAGTTGAGGGCCCTGTGATGGCAGAGAGATGTCTTTATCCGAGGCAATGGTGCACAGGTAGACAAGCACACTACAGCAGCTCTGAGACATTTCCAGAGCCTTCCTTCGAAAGGGCATCCCTAAACAACCTGAGTCTGTAGAGGTGGATAATGGTGTGTGCATTATGAGTATGCACACAAAGGAGAATGTCTGTTATCCTTAGTGCAGAGTAAGTAACATAAAGTCTAGTGGAAATAAAAATATATAAATTTAATTGTATGACATAATTTGTTGGCTATAGACATTCCCTTTCACTTCTTTCTTTTTCCATTTTTTCTTTCTTTTTTATTGACCCGCTTTTCCTCCATTCAGTGTGGAAGGATAAGCACTGAACAGAGCCATACTAGAGCAATCTACAGGGACTTGTTTCAAATTCAAAAATTGGGTGACCCAAGGTTCTAAAGTCTGTCAGATGAATTTGAATAATGCAGGTATTGGCACTCTATGGCAGCCACAAATGTGGCAGAGGTAATGAGTTTTGGAAGCTCCCCTGAGCCTCAGGCAGAATTACAATGTCAATCAAGTTTATTTCCTTCCAAACCTCCTTTTCTTTACCCAGGGATGGATTTGCTTTAGTTGGATGTCCAAAGTTCTTGACTTACTATAAAGAAGTAAAAAGTGGATTGGATTTGGAGACATATAACATGAGTTTGAACCCAATCCAGTCAATCATTGCTTGGGTGATCTTGGGTAATTCACTTAAATTTGCTGCTTCTCAATCTCCCAACCTATAGATTAAAAAGTCACTCATTTATTCATCAAACAAATAGTTCTGAAAACTTAGTACATGTCAGGTATTAGAACTGTATTTTTTATGATTTTTTAAAAACATCATTTACCCCAAGAGTAAGTAGGTAAAATGTAAAGTATAATAGGAAGAGCATTACTGAGATCAAGTTAAGTGAGATAAAGTATCCAGTACTTGCTTACTTCACAGTTAACACTTACGGCATATTGCTACATCCTCAAGCCTACTTTAAAAAAAAAAATCATTGTATTCCCCTTGTAAGAATTAAACCTCCCATCTCTTCAGTGCTGCAACTCTCATTAAGGTATCAATCTGATTACCTAAGTGAAGAACAGTAATTTACCCTTAGGGGAATTTATGCTCCCATAAATAATTTACTATTTTTAAACGGGAGCTTTTTAACTCTAATGGAAGTCAGCTCAAGGCAACCAATAACTACTAAGCACCTACTATGTTTTAAGTCATGTGGAGATGTAATCCCCACCTTCATGAGTTTTGAAATCTATAAGATTTGTAAAAATAATATATCAACCCATTAAAATTTAAAAAGCTAAATTTTGAAAGCAACAAAAGTTTTAAATGATTGATATTACAAAGGATTCTATGGGACCCTATGTAATTTCAAGTAAGTTATGTGTCGTGCAACCATTACTGGAATAAGTGTTGAAAGAAAGGAGAAATCATTTTCTTGGTGGAAAATATTAGGGAGGCACAGGAGAATTTAATGAATGTTGCCACCTGAGTAACTCACCCACCTAGAGATTGCCCCCACTTCTTCCATTAATACCCTCACATAGCTCTTCATGCGAGTCAGATTCCATTCACCAGTTCTCTTCTCACTTCATAAATTTTTTTCAACATCCTTAGCTTAGCAAAATAAAGATCATCACTGTTACCAATTAGATCAAATACTTAAAAGGCCAAAGCAAAGCTCAGTCTTAACAAATAAGAGAATTATGAATCTATGAACTTGGAGGGAATCTTGTAGGTAAACACAAAGTATGATAAATAGCAGCAAGTCTTTATGAAGCACATTAACATAAAATGACTTATTTGATCCCCTCACCAACTCTGAAAATGGGAAAGGGCAAAGAAAGGTCATTTTTCCACGACCCTCAGCTGGTAGCTAGTGGGTATGGCATCCACCCAATGCTTGTGTCCTATCTACCATTTAAAAATGTCATGTAGGAGAAAAACTTGCTATGCTCTTTCTTAGAAATTGAGAGTCACAAAAAGGTATAGTATGTATTAGTACAGGAGTTAAATGTGGACTAGGTTCTTGCCACTCAAAGTGTGGCCCACAAACTAGCAGCATCCGCATTACTTGGGAGCTTGTGAAAACACAAACAACTGGCCCCATCCCAGAATTCCTGAACCAGAAGCAGCAGTTTAACAAGATCCCCAGGTGATTCTTATGTGCAATAAATCTGAGAAGCACTAGCGTGTGTAGGTTCTACATCTCTGAGTTGGATACAACACAACTCAGAATTGTGCAAATAATGTAATATACAAGAAAACACTTTTTATATGAAAAAATACTATATAAGACTTCATAAAATAACAATTATTATTCTAATGTATAATAACCCAGTCATTCATATCAGCATATTGTCCTACAGTTGAATATAAATAACACAAATAGCTGGAACTCTTGGGAACTTGAAGGTAATCAAACTAGACTTAGTTCAGGTATAATATTTATCCCAGATGAGATTATAAATTTATATTAAGATGCCAATTTAGCAAATATCTCATGATGCAGGTTGCATTTTAGCTTATTATGGGAGGATTTTTTTATTGCGATTTTTTTTTACAGCTACTCTGCTCTTCAGGATTATTTTAGTGTTGTTTTTAGGCCAGTAAGAAATATCAATTATAACATATTGTAACCCACTAAAATATGCCTTTTAAAATCGTAGATTCTCTTCCATTTTTTTCCTCCTTCACATTTACATGGCAAAAGGTTTATATCTTCAAGATCTAAAACAAAAAGACATGGAAGTTAACAAGAGCAGTGTGAAGCCTGAAGCCTGGAGTGCTGACCTCTCATTCAGTGCTCCTTCCTCCCCTCCACTGGGGCTAAAAACTTTGCCAACATGTACCATGTGACTGCAACTGAATCTGCAATGGCATGCATTGGTATTTTCACAGAGAGCAAGGCTATCAGCCTTGGAATCAAAAGACCTTGGCCGAAGTCCCAGCTTTGCTCATTTTAAACTTGAGTCTCACAGATCTTTTGCCCTTCCCACCTCAATTTCACAACCCAAAAAAAAGGGCACCAGAAGCAATGGTATTTAAGAAATAAAAGGGAAATTTTAAACTCTGCCTTTTAAGACGTTCTGTAAAGACCTTTGGTTTTCTCCTGAGGTTTTAACACATTATGCCTATACTGATCATCAAACCCAAATTATTTTCCCATTCTTTTAAAGTATGTATCTTCTGCACCCAATATCATTTTGTTCAGTAAGCTTTCTGCAGATATTCAAAAAAGTACCCCCCAAAAGCATTGAGTATTTTTCTCCCTGTGTTCTCCTTCTCAGCCACCTTTGTGGCTCCTCTGCCCTTTCTTGTCCCTTGAGCGCTGGTGTCCCCAGGGCACTGCATTGGTCCTTTAGTCCGGCTCCCTGGGGGTACACCTCTAAATTATGCCTTCTAACTACCAAGAATTTCCACTCTGCATCTGCAGGTCAAACGTCTCTCCTGATGCCACTTCCACAAATCCACCTACCTACAAGGCATTTTTGGTGGTAACCTATAGTCACCCCAAAACATGCCAGAAACTGAGCTCACCCTTCTCATCCCACAACCTGCTCCTCCTTCTTTTCTCGAGTTTTCTATTAATGGCCTCATCATTCTCCTAATGACCCAAGCCAGAAACGAGTTATCATCTGGATTCTGCTCTCTCCTACACCTTTTAAATACCACTGAGCAGACATGCTGCAGGTTTTACCATGTAAATATCTCAAATTACTCTATACCTTTTCCACAGCTTTCATTCAAGCTTTTGTTAATTTTCACATGAACAGTAACCACCTTTCTCTCTGCCTCCAGCCTTGCCTTCTCCTAAAATCGAAAAAAGCCTAAAACTAATCTTCATATTTTATCAAATGTAGATCCCCAAGCCCAAAACATTTAATTCAGTGCAGGGTGTGGAGAGAATTTGTCTTTAACAACTGCACTCCTGGGGCAGCAATACAGGTCAGACCAGGAGAACTGACCTAATCTGTTCTCTACCATAAGAGGATAACTCTTCTGATACGCAAATCTGATTAACCATGCCACTTCCCTGCTTTTAACTCTTCAGTGACTGCTATTTCCATTTAGGATAAAGTCCAAAGTCCTTGACATAGACATTCGCCACCTGTCCTCTGCCTCCCTTTAGAGACTTGTCTTCTGCCACACCCCCACCCATACATGCTATTGTGAGTGCATGTTGCCTGCACAGGAACAAGAGGGGTAGAGAGAAAAGAGGCAAGGGAGGGATCCAGTACTGACTAAGAACACACTCCACATTCACTCATTTGATCCTCACAGGTGCTACCATCTCCATTCGAAGGATGAGGAAAGAAGCCCAAAGAAGTAGGGTAGCATGCCTGGGCTTCAGAGGCAGTGACAGAATCGAGACTAAAGCCAAGATGATCCAACATCAAAACACCTTTGGCTTTTCCATATCTCTGCCATAGGACATACTTCAGAAAAACGGGATATGTCAAACTATATATTATGTCAATTATGGCCAAATGAAACAGGGTAAACTTAAGTAAGATAAGGAGAAACCTGGCAAGTCCTAGCATTATTGTGGACTGCTGAAAAACCAGAGAACAGATCAAGACAACAGTAGTCACAATATAAAGATACTTTTTAAGCAGATCCTTCAGAAAGGTCATAAATGTCAGAGAACAAGTTATAGATCTGAAAGGGGTAATGAATATGGATATAGGTATAGATATAGATACATATAGATACAGATATAGAGATAGATATAAATATAATATAGATATAGACATAGATATATAGATACTGCAAATGCCAAACATGTGATCCAACAGGTACACCTATAGAGTGAGAACAATTGTGATGTTGCAGTGTCTACCCAACCACACCCACACCCCAAATGTGATAGTACTGTTGGACACACCTCATTGACAAAGAATTCAGTATCTTTTCTGTTGCTGCAAAGTCTTCTATGAATACTTTGTGAGGCTGCTCAAATCATATTTGCCCCAGGACAAATCAGTACAGGGCTCAGTGTCATACCAACTAATTTGAATAAAACAATAAGTGTGCCTATTTATATTCAGACCCATGCCCAGGAGCTCCCAGAGGTGTGGTAAGTGTTGCTTTGGAACAGACATAAAATATACATAGTTCTCATTTAAGCTACTGCATATTTTTCTGGTGCCTCTCACAGCTATATTGATAGCCATGGTTCTAAGTAATTAGATGAGTGCTGGAGAAAGGAATTAAGTGTTAACATTTTATATCCTCAGATTGGCGAGGTTTCTTCCAGAGCTAATTAAATCAGTGTAATTCAATTCAGTTTTGAAAACCTACCTATCCTGATTACCCACTATGCGCGAGGAGCTGTGTTAGAAGCTATGGGGCAGACGTGGATATAAGGTGGTCAGAGAGGCTGATGAGTGTAGTGGTTAAGCAAACGAAAAAGATCCTGGGGCCAAGACTCCTAAATCTGAAGCTCCGTTCTGCCCCTCTTTAGATGTATGGCTTTGGGCAAGGTGATTTTACCTGCCTGGGCCTTAGCATTCTCATCTATAAAAGGGAATGTGTCCCTTCTTCATAAAGCTTAAGGGACTGAATAAGTTATTGCCTGTAAAACTGTTATTATAATCCCAATCCTCAAGCCATTTATTTTCTAGAGAGAGAGAGAAAAGCTCAAAGGAAGGTAAAAATGGGCATTGCTTTTGGAACCTGGAGAATAAAGAGAAAGAACACCTCCAACTGGAGGCTGAATCATAGAAACCTTCGTGATAGGAGTCAAAGCCCAGGTGGGCTTGAAAGGATGGAGAGTGGGAGTAGAAATAGCCGTGGGAGGAGACTCTAGGTGCAGAGAATGGGAGAAGTAATGGCCCAGGGAGTGTTCTCACAACAGTGGGCAGTGGAGACTGGCAGGAGCATAGAGGTATAAAGGAAACCAGGAAATAACTACGGCTGGAAAACCAAGTCAAAGCCCCATTGCAGAATCTTTGGTGCCTTGCTAAGTATTCCCAACAATAGAGGGCATTGAAGGACTTGGAGGAGGAGACTGGTTTGACTCCTGCTGTGACTTGGGAAGTTCCCCCTAACAGCAGTGTGCACACTACACTGGAGGAATGAAAACTGGAAGGCAGGAAGACAGTAGGCAGTAGGTATCACGTCAGCCATGTGAGACATAAGTGAGCTTTGACTGGTACAGTGATAGTTGAAAGAGGTGTGAAAGAAGTTGCAGAATTGGGCCATGATTGAATGTGCACACAGCAGGAAAGGGGGAGTCAAGGATAACTGAGAGCTCAACATGGGGAGGCTGGGAAGATGGAAATTACCATGGACTAAGAGAAAGAACACAGAGTACCCATAATATGTAATTCTAACACCCATTCCCCACTAACCTGCCAATATTGAGTTCACTGCCAAATCTTAAAGGCAGACAGCCATTTGGCTAATGGTCAGTAAGCCCAATTTCCTGCCAGATATTAGGGCTTGCTTAAGAGTTTGCCTCATAGTGTTTGAGAAATGATACGCAACCTCTCCATGGAACATGCATTTTGTAATAGCAAAATTATCAAGAGCCTTTTCAGTGCTACAATTGAGATACTAGCTGTGAATCAATGTTCAAAAAAATCTTAATAAATTGTTTCAGATGTTACTAGGAAGGATATTTCTGGAGTGTCAATTAGACACAATTATAGTTTGAGTTGAATAATTACCCTTTCTTGTACATATTTTGATGATGCTTTAAAAAAAAAAAAAGACTAATCTGAGAAGAAAAAGATGATAACTCACATGCCATTAACTCCTTTAAAGAGAACACAATTCATAAATGAAATGCCTAATTTAAATGCAATTTAGAAAAACATTCCCAAGGATAAGCATTCAAAATCCAGCCTAACTTTCAGCAAACAGAGGGGAAGGACAGAAGCAGGCAGGAGAGAATGAGTAACAAGGGAAAAGAGAAACAGAAAATGAGAGCAAGTAATTAGGATGTAATTAGAAGATTTAGGGGAGAATAAGAAGAAAAATAAGACAGAGGGAGTGAAGATAAACTCTGTAAGTGGTAAAATTTTACCACTTCGTATCTCAACTCAGGAGTGGCAGGTGAGATGTTAGTGAAGATCATACAAGTAGTTAGGTCTGGGTTCACACCTCAGCGCATCCATTTGCTACTACAATCTTGGGCATCTCCATTGACATGTGTGTAAAACAAGGATAATTACAAGACATAGCATATGGCAGCTTTTATTAATACTCATCTTTAAGATGCGTCTTATCTTTACCACTATCCCCCAATATTAATTCACCCTACTCTGTTCCATCCAGATGTTCCCTAACCCAGTACCACAACCCTTTCTCACTCCCACCTGTAGGTATGTACTAGTGCTTTCCTCCGACCTGGCATGTATAATATATCTTGGGAGACATCTATGCTGATATACACATACCTAGGCAGAGATGACAAACAGAAACAAATTATAAGTGTCTGTGTCCTGGAGTCAGATGATTTGGGTAGGGATTCCACATCAACTACTTACTAGCCCTGAGACATTGGGCATATCACTCATTCTTTCTGAGCCTCAGATTCCTCACTTGTTGAAAAAGTGGTGGGCAGTAAAGATTAGTGGGAGCATAGAGATGCAAAGGAAACCAGTATATTCATCCGTTTTCACACCACTGATGAAGACATATCTAAGACTGGGTAATTTATAAAGAAAAAGAGATTTAATGGACTCACAGCTCCACGTGGTTGGGGAGGCTTCACAATCATGGCAGAAGGCAAACTGCAAATCTTACACAGCAGCAGGCAAGAGAGAATGAGAACCAAGTGAAAGAGGAAACCCCTTATAAAACCATCAGATCTCATGAGACTTAATTTACTACCACGAGAACGGTTTGGAGGAAACTGCCCTCATGATTCAATTATCTCCCACCAGGTCCCTCCCACAACACATGGGAATCATGGAAGCTACAATTCAAGGTGAGATTTGGGTGGGGACACAGCCAAACAATATCAACCAGGAAACAACTAAGACTAGAAAATCAAGTTGAAGCTCCATTATGGAAGCGTATGCGAGAATTACCCTGCCAATATATACTTACATGTCTAAGATAAGGTCTATGCTCAATAAATGGTCACTAGTACTAATTAAAAGGTAAACAATAATATGTTCTAGGTCCTGTGAGAAATCTTCTCAAGCAAATCCTGCCCATACCAATGTCACCATTCTCTAAGACTTGCTATGCTTGTTACATTATCATCAACCAATAACTTAGCCTGTGCTGTCTTATATCTCATCCACTAGCCTACCCATTTTGGTGCTTTATGACAGTTTATATAGGCAATATATATTTAAATAATAATCCTGCTCTTTTTTATGTGCAGTAATCCCCCTTTATTTGAGGTTTTGTTTTCTGCAGTTTCAGTTTCTTATAGCCAATCATGGTCCGAAAATATTCCATACGATAAGATATTTTGAGAGAGCAAGACAGAAATCACATTCACATAACTTTTATTGAAGTATATTGTTATAATTGTTCTATTTTATTATTAGTTATTGCTGTTAATCACTTACTATGCCTAATTTATACATTAAACCTTACCATAGCCATGTGTATACAAGAAAAAAATGTAGTATACATAGGGTTTGGTGCTCTCTGCAGTTTCAGGCATCCACCAAGGGTCTTGCAATGTATATCCTCTGTGGATAAGGAGAGATTACTATATGTATCTTATGGTCTTATATCCTATATAAGTCACAGATAGGAAGTAAAGCATTTACAAGCACCAGGGCCAGCTACATAATTTTTGAGGGCCAATTCAAAATGAAAAATGTAGAGCCCTTGTTCAACAATTATTAGGAATTTGAAGATGGCAACCACAGGATATTAAAGTGTGGGGCCCTTCCATGCACTGCATGGGTTGCAGGCCCATTAAACCATCCGTGGTAAGCACAACACCTGGTGAAGTGTTAGATACATAATTAACTTTCAGTAAACACTTACTGCTTCACTAATGAAAACATGCATAACCTTTTTTTGGTGAAATCTTCACAGCCACTCCAGGCCTCTTGGTCTGGATCCTACAAGTACTAAACATAGCCCTTTTTTCTTCGTTTCGTTCATGTATATATGGGACTCAAAATAACTAACCTAGAAGCAAAACAAATTTGTCAATTATTTTTTAATTTTGGAACACTGATTCAAAGTTTTATTTTCACAAATAATTATAACAAAAGATATCTTCCCAGATGACTCAATTGACATTCTTAACTTTTTACCCTTAAGTTCTCTCTATTCTAGGGAGAACAGTACTGTGATAAATCGTATTTCATTATCTGCCAGAAAGAATTGATTAATTTTACCAAGCCAGTGCCTGCCCCCACAGAGCTGTGTCCTGAAAATTATGCCCTTTGGGTTTATAATAGCAGCAGATGATGAGTTAAGATGTTTGTTTAAGGTGTTTGCCTCAGTGAATCATATTTTATTAAATGCAAATATTCTCACCTCTACCATACATTTTGTAAGCTTCCTTACTCTTGCACGCATAAGGCTCTTATACTTTTCTTTTTTTCAAATCATGATTCAAAGAGCAGAGAGAAAAATCTAACAAATGAAGCAGATGCATCCACAACCATTTCCTCATCTGTTCACTCTTCCTTCAAAGATAAGAGTGTTTAAAAATCCCTTTAGGCTTTCAGTTTATTTCTGATCTTTGTGTTTTCAATCACTGACAGAGGTAGATTGGCATATGTCCTTGGTGTTCATAGACACAGTTAAAGTTTTCTACTTTTGCTGTATACAGTTAAGGTTTCTAATGTGCTGTGGCCATTTACATGTCTTATTAGCATGTTGACATATATTTTTAACAAGACTTGGTATTCTCAGTAATTGCCATTCACTTTCCTGAGCACCTGTATACCAGAGCTCATCAGATTCATCATTTAGTTAGGCCATTTGGAATTGAACTGTGATGAAGTCTTATGCAGCAGACAAGAAGACATGTAAAGAGTATGGCCATTCATCAGAAAACAGCAGTACTATCTAAGGAGCCATGCACAAGACTAGGGTGTCAGCTAGAATATTCTGCACTTCAGTTTAAAAAAACCAACTCAAACTGGCTTTCATAATTGTATTAGTCCATTTTCACACTGCTGATAAACGCATACCTGAGACTGGGTAATTTATATGGAAAAAGAGGTTTGAGTGACTCACAGTTCCACATGGCTGGGGGCCTCACAATCATGATGAAGGCAAGGAGGAGCAAAGGCATGTCTTACATGGCGGCAGGCAAGAGAAGAATGGGAGCCAAGCAAAAGGGGAAACCACTCATAAAACCGTCAGATCTCATAAGACTTATTCACTACTACAAGGACGGTATGGGAGAAACCACCCCCATGATTCAATTATTTCCCACTGGCTCCCTCCCACAACACATGGGAATTATGGGAGCTTTAATTCAAGATGAGATTTGGGTGGGGACACAGCCAAACCATATCAATACTGAAAGAAATTTATTGCCTCTCAAAACTGAGGAGTCAAGAGAGAAAGTAAGCTGCCGGTGAAGCTGGATTCAGTGGCTCAGCAGTGTCACCTGGAACCAGAGTCACTGCACCTCTGCTCTGCTTTGTAGGAGGTGGTCTCTCCCTGAGACTGGCCACCTTGGGGTTGCAAGCTGGCTGCCAGCAGTATCTGAGGCTAGCTGCTTCCTCATTCATGTCCAGCAGGAAACACAGTCTTGTTAAATTGCTCCTTGAGAACCAATCAGCTGCTTTGCAAGGATCCCTCAGCAAATGTTTCTTCTCATCTTTCTGTCTCAGAATGGGACTGCGCCCAGCCCTGTGACACACTCAGTGGCTGGGGCTTGAGTGTGTTGTTGGCTGGCTCACAACAGTGAGGGCTACCCTGGCACCTGAAGAATCAGTGTCACCCAAGCTGCTCTGCCTGGAAATCCAGGGTTCTGTTAGTAAGCGAAAGGAGGGAATGGAGAGGAGATGACTGCCATTTTTAGTTTCTCTTTTTAGTCATCTACTTGGATGTTAGGAAACTTAAGAATTTAGGAATTTGGGTCAAATTTTTTTCTCCTACATCTGTTATCTAGTTTTTTTTCTTCTGCATTTTCAGTTAGACAGCTGGACATTGAGCATATATATGTTGTGATTCTTCATTTGTTCAGGAAGTAGTTCATTTTATGGATAGTTTAAGTAAGTTAAATTCAGTATTAAAACCACTCATATTTAATTTTCTTTAATGACACCATGGACATGGACAATAAGGGTTACATGTTGGGGTACAGAGACCAGAGTCGTCCAAGAAATAGCCTCTTTCACCTTTGGTTGTTTCTCTCAGGATAGAAATAGCTCACCATGAAGCTTATTTCTGGAGTGAGAATTTTTTAAAACCTTTTATTTTCTTCCAAATAAATTTAAGATGATCTGAATCATTATTTTTCTCACCATCTATTTATGACTTAACTAAAGCTACTGTATATAAAATATTGTGCCAGTATTGATGGGAGACATCAGTTTTCTTTTGTGCTAACCACTTTTTTGTTAATTTTTATTATGGGAATTTTTAATCATATGCAAAAATAGGTGGAACAGTATCTGGCGAACTCCTATTTTCTTATTATCCTGTTTTGATAATTATCTACAGTCGTGCTGGCCAGTTTTGTTTCATCTCCATCCCCCTACTTCCTTCCACCTCCACCTCCCTTGACTCCCTGTAGGATTTTTTTCAAGCAAGTCTCAGACATTATATCATTTTTCCCCTAAATTCTCATGTATGTATCTCCAAGAAATAGAAACTCTTTTTAAAAAAACAATAACCAAAATACCATCATCACATCTTTAAAACATTTTTAAAAATAATCCCTTAGTCAAATCCACAATAAGTGTTCAAATTTTATGGGAGGTATTTTTAAAAGGTAGCTTTATTCCCTATACTTGACTTGATAATCTAGTTCAGAGGGATGAGAATTACATTCACAAAAGGATTAGAAAAGTTATATTCCAATCAAGCACTAGATTGCCAAGTAGCAATGCAACTGCTCTGCAAGGTCACTGAAGGGCTGGGTGGTTCAAGAGAGCCCTTGGAGAAAATGGCAGGACTACAGTGCAACTTCACACCGAGCCTTGGAAAGGCATTGCATAATCTTAATTTTCTTAAAATTGGAGGCAGGATTTAGGACACTTGGAAAGGCATTACATAATCTTAATTTTCTTAAAACTAGAGGCAGGACTTAGGACAATCAGATACAGTATAGATGACTAGATAAAAATGAGAATAAATATGCAGTGTGTAGAGGGTGTTGGGAGAGTGATCTGACCAGTGATTGAGTGTGAAGCAATTACAGTACTTAAATTTGCAAGAAAGATATTAACTCTTATCTATGAGATGCCACATGAAAAGCAGAGAAACAAAGAAGAAAAATAAAGCACTTACAAGACTTTAGATCACTGACCACCTGGTTGGAGCCTTAACTTCATCACATACCAACATGTGAACTTGAAAAAACAGCTTGACAACTTTGAATACTCGTTTTATATTATCTATAAAACTGTATCTATTGAAATAATGTCATTAGTCCTGTGTTACTTACATAGCACATTCCCAGTAATAAGCTACTTAATATTGGGATACAACTTTGTAGTTTGCACATTACTTCCAGACTCATCACCTTTATTTTTTTTCTTTGTACCCAGCGAGGTAGATCTCATTATCCCAATTTCCAAATGAGAAAACTCAGGCCTCAAGAGTGATTTGTCACTGTCACATACAAGTTATAATTGAAAGGTATTGTTATTGTTATTCTTGTATGATTAAGCAAACAGTCTAGAGAAAGCAAAATACTGACATACATCTCTGGATAGAAGACTTTCCACAATGTGAAAGTGTAACAAGCAGTAAAGAACCACGTGAAAGTCACATCCAGTTAAATTTTCTGATTCAGGGTTTTAAAATGGCTATTAGTGCAAAATAAATCTTACAGTCCTTATACTGAGATCTTCCTCTTCCTGGGATAATAATTGGGATGATTTCTACAGTGATAGAGCGGATAACAGGGATAGAATAACTTAAAGAATCTCATCATAACTATTATCTCTCACTCTGCTACCTATGGACAGGGCAAAATTCCTCCAAATGAAGTGAAAATAAATTGATTTTTTTTTTACAAAATAAACTAACTAGGGATTTCTGGAAATATAGTGAAACATAGAATTTAGTAGCATTTAATAATTCTATTTTAATATAGATAGGATTTAGAGTTTAAATAAATTAACACCATTGCCATTCTGTTCTTCAAAGTTGTATTCATGAAAACTAATACTAGCACTATGGAACAGAGTGTGGAGATTTTTTAAAGAACTAAAAGTAGAACTACCATTCAATCCAGCATCCCCACTCCTGGGTATCTTCCCAGAGGAAAAAAAGTCACTATACAAAAAAGATAGCTGCACATACATGTTTATAGCAGCACAATTCACAATTGCAAAAATATGGAACCAGCCCAAATGCCTATCAGTCAACGAGTGGATAAAGAAATTGTGATATATGTATGTGTGTGTGTGTGTATATATATATAATGGAATACTATTCATATATATATGTATACATATATGTATACATATATATATACACATATATATATATATATACATAATGGAATACTATTCAGCCATAAAAAGGAATGAATATGGCATTTGCAGTAACCCTGATGGAATTGGAGACTATTATTCTAAGTGAAGTAACTCAGGAATGGAAAACCAAACATCGTATGTTCTCACTTGTAAGTGGGAGCTAAGCTATGAGGATGCAAAAGCATAAGAATGACACGATGGACTTTGGGGACTCAGGGGAAATGGTGGGAGGGGGTGAGGGATAAAAGACTACAAATTGAGTTCACTACATACCGCTTAGGTGATGGGTGCACCAAAATCCCACAAATCACCACTAAAGAACTTACTCATATAACCAAATACCACCTCTTCCCCAAAAATCTATGGAAATAAAAATTTTTTTTAAATTATATCCATGAATGCTTTTGGGTCTTGCTAGGTATGCTATAGTGCTACAAAGCTAGCATTTATCACTATTTTTACAAAACTAAACTCCAATTATTTGTACTTTAACAATAGTTTCTTTGACCAAAATTATATATTAGATCAGAATAATATGATTCTGTTGCAGGGGGATAATAGCTACTTGCTTGATCAAATCATCTTCTATTCTTATTTTCTCCCATAGGGTATAATTGACCTCCTAATAGTAAATTTACAAATACATATTTTGTGTATATGAATTTATTTATTTATACATACAGAAGAGCTTTCAGGAAGAAAATTTTTCATGTATTCCCAAGTATAAGCTTTAAAAAGTAGGGCACGTTAAATTTCTTCTGCTAATTGATTCTTGGCTACGTTGTACTCTATGATCTATGCAAGCAAAATTGATGTGAATGTGAGACCTCCCTGTCGATAATGGGATCCCTACCTGACTCCTAGCACTGGATAATGGAGGAGCCCTTGGTTATCGTCATCCCATGTCGAACTTTGTGATTTCACACTTCATAATGCAAGAGTATTACTTTAAAATGCATTAAACTTCTAAAGATAGCAAATAGCCTTTTGGATAATGCATTTTAAATAGACTCTAAATTCAGAATTTTAAAAAATGTTCGTATTGTAAGACATCATAATAGCTCTTATATCGCATCCTGTTGCTATGCCCTACTCTCTTTTCCTAGGCTTTGCCTTCTTCCTCAGAAGATAGCCTGTCGTTGCAAACCCATTCATGTTGCAACCTGAGCCTGAATTCCACTCTCCATAATAGGCCTGCGCCTCATCCTTTTTCATTTTTAGAAGTCATCTCTCTGTCAGTAGAACTGATTGGGTATTGTTTAATATGGAGAGGTCTTATAAATAGCTTTCCTGGCTAAAAATTGAACATAGAGATTTCAAATCAGCCCCCTCCCCCTGCACCATACATTATAGCTATCTGTTTTGTAATCTTTTTTATTAGAGAAGATGACAGCACATCCTGACATAAATCATCACTCATAATAATACAATACATATTTTAATCTCCTCAGAAGCATTAAGCTGTAGTACACTGTTGTCAAAGAATGCTGACATCCAAAGGACTCATAATAAATATTTGAAACCTGAAAACATTTAGTTTTAAATTTTCATCAAATATGTATTTAGTCCAAATACATTAAAATTCCATAACCAAGTTTAAGAACTTAATTATGAATTACCTACAATGATCAAAGTTATTTTGGTAAAGTTGATTTCTCAGCTTCAAGTGCTAAATGGAATAAAATGAGCATGGACTTAATAGAATAATAAATTAAATAATCATCCATTTGGAAGTTGCTATCTACTTCTTCATAAAATCTAGATTTCATCTCTTTATCGAGAGTTAGGTAAAATTAGACTCTAGATGTTTTTTCCATTTATATTATCAGCCAGCCAAATTTTAAATGGTGCATAGTTAATAATGTTATGGAAGTTTGAAGTCTTTCCAAATTTGGTTCATTTAATTTCTGACAACTTATGGTCCAAAGTATTTAGAATAAAGAATAGAAATATTTGGAATATTGCCTGGTTGCTTATAGGAGAAAAGCTGTTCTTGTGTAGTCATAACAGTGTTAAGGGGTGAACAGAGAGAGAGAGTGCAAGAGGGCGTGTCCCAAGTTAAGGTCCCTCTGAATGAAATTTCTGATTTTATTTTAGCTAAATGATTAACTAAAGATGGACGAGAAGATTCTTCAAAATCTCCTTTTTCACCCTACCTCATTATGTTTAAATGGTCATCTAAGAAATTATGGATACTATATTTAAATTCATGAGAACTAGATATCAGTGCTTTTAAACAATGTCTTCATTTTTCAAGCTACATTACAGCAAGGAGAATGAAAAGGAATGTGGAATAGGAGAGAGTTGAGGACAAAAGAGTGTATGGAAGGAGAAGGGTAGGAATTTTCTAGACAAACAAATGTGGAGGGAAGGGAGAGTGTTCCAGGCAGAAGGAACAGCACGTGCAATCATGGAAATATGAGAAGGGCTGGAAGATTTGAGGAGCTGCAAGTCTTGCTAGAGCAAAATAGCGGGTATGAGGGAAGAGGAAGAGGAAGGTAACAGAAGACTATCTGTCATATTTAAAGGGCTTTGTAAACTACAGAGGAGTTCTATATCTTAAGTCTTATAAACAGGAAATACCCATTCAAAATTTGAGTGAAGAAGTTGACTAATAATAGTAATGCCAATTGCTTATTCAATACCTTTTATTTTACTGTCAGTTGTTATCTATTCCATAACAGTTTTATTTATTCTCACTATATCATAGGTTACACATAAAATGCTTATATAATATTTAGCTATAGTAAGTGTTTGTACATAAATTATCTTCCAGCCTTACAGCAACTTGCGAGATAGGCATTATCATCACTGGTTGTCATAGGATGTTCAGAAGATTAAGTGATTTGACCAAGACAACTCAGCCAGTAAATGACAGAGCCAAACGTTGTACTTGGGTCCCTCTGGCTCCAAAACCTGCCCTCTTTACATTCTATGACAACGTCATTCTTGCATTCTATAAACATATATTGTGCCCCTTCTGTGATACTGGATGGAGGCTTATCACTCTCTGCTATCTCGGAGATTCTATTTGGCTGTCTTTAGGTCAGCGTGCTCACGCATAGATTTGTTGGCTGTTAAAGCAGGGAGAAGACAGCTTGAGGGAAACAGTCCAGGTGGGGGTGGAGCCCGTAATGTTGGGGGCCAGGGAGGAGACCATAAATGAAACAATATCATCATTCCCCTAATAACATTTTTATGTCTTCCAAGTAGTGCTAAGTTCCCAGCATATTCTGGACCTACCTAATAAGTAAATCTTTTCGGGCCAGAGCCACATTATGACTTTCATGGGCCCTGGGCACTTTTGCCTTCATGGGCACCTTCCTCCATGAAAGAAAAAAGTATATATATTTATTATATTTTATCTACATATTTATTTATATGTCCATATATTATAAATACATATTTGTATATGCATTTATATATTTATAAATATATATAAAATATATATTATATATAATTATATTTTACAACTGAATTGGAGTAAAGGCGAATATAGATGGGATTCATGATTTTACATTAATTATTATATTCATTTTTTATTCTGATTTTAAAAGATTAAAGTGAAAACACTTTCGTGGGCCCTGGGTGCTGTGGGTAAGTAGGCCCTGGTGAAGACTGGAATGTTATGTGTCTCCATATGGTAAAATAATGCAAAGTTAATGCCGGAAGGCATTACCCTCCGTGGGCGTGGGGATAGAAGTTGGACCAGGGTAAGTTCCACTTATGACAACAGTTTCGTAAGAGGCTTAGGCAAGTGGGAGCCGCTATTAAGGAAGGCAGACTTTAAATTATTACACAATTAAATTGTAGTTTTGTCTTTCATGAAGGCTTGAGCAAGTTTACCTTTTTGACAAGCTTATTTACTACAGGATAGGAAACAACGTTTGCAATATCACTTTTAAAAGAAAAGCAACAGCTTTCAAGAAATGATTTCCTCTGTTGATGCAGTTGCAATAATTTTCAATATCTCATTTGTGGTGCAGAAAAATGAAATACCTCAGCCTTGGAAAATGAACGCAGAGTGAGATCACAAATTGATCTTGGCAGGAAAGAGGCAGGCAAAGGATTTTAAATACTTTAAAGTACTCTGCACCTCCAAAACACTGTCACTCTGAAAGTACAGTAATCAGGGGTGGTATTTAGAATGCCGAAAGATATACAAGAGATGGAGAAAGCCAATACTAAAATCTTAAAATACTAGAACTCAGAGGGTTAGAGGGTTAACTTCTGGAAGATTAAAAGGACAGTTATTGTGTCTCTGTGAATACTTAATAAGGCCAGAAAACATACCGAGCCAGAAATAAACAGATGCAAAGAGCATAGAGATGTGACTGACTCTTCCACAACAAATTACAAAGGCATATTAGAAAGCACTGCTACAAAGGAATGAATCCTTTGTATCCCTTGCGGGATCCTGAGAAACATGCCATTGGGAGAGTGGTTGATTGGGCTAAGGGTCCTGGTTTTTGAATCAGATTCACACTCCCTGGAGATCCACAGAGAACGTCACAGAGAGAACACGTGGCTGCAGGAGCCTTATGTGCTGAGCCCACTTTGATGTTGCTGGAGAGTCCTACTCCAGCATCTTCCTATTTTCTCAGTTCCAGAGAAAATGAAAAAAAATGAACTTTTGCTTTAGAGTGAAGGGAAGTTGGATGAGAAGTGAAGACTGGAAGTTGGGCAGGCGGGACCTCTGGGGATGAACTTTCACCTGTCACAGTTTCAACTTATTTTGTGGCACAGAGTTGATTAAAAGAGCTTTCCTTTGGCACTGCTACTGTTGGAGGCAAGAAAAGGAAATGCTAATTTCTGGAAACTAGAATTGCTGCCCCTAAAAGCACAAGAAATAATGAGTGCTCTGAAAGAAAACACAGACAGGCACGTGATCCTCAACCAGAAAGCAACACACAAGCAATGGCATCAGCAGTTATTGAAATCCTAGCCTCTTTTTCTGATGCCAAGGAAGAGCAGATAAAAATCAACCTATGTTCCTTGGATGGAAATCAAATTCTCATGCTTGATGGTTTTCACCACTAATTTCATTGAAATGGCCCCGTGCTAACTTGGGCTTTCTGAAAGTATTCATGCCAGTAACTCAGCCTCCGAAGGGTGCCAGAGGGACTGAGCTGGTTGGGCTGAGTGGTGAGGTTGTGAGGTGGCTGCTGGCTGCCTGGCAGTCTCAGAGCCCAGTAGCCGCTGTGTGCTGGCCATTGGGGAGAGATTCTGATGGTGACATACTGAGAGTGATTAAATCTGTTTGGAAAGTTAGCCAGAAGGCAGAGAAATTGAAAAGGGAATGTAGTTCATTCCTTTTGGGCACTGACTTTTCCCCATAAGTATTAACTCTTTGCTATCCTCAAAATCAGACTGGATTTTCACGTTTTCAAATTTGAAACTCATGGAAAATGCCAGACTGAAAACTATCAAAGTGTTTGCAAATGCTGAAGAGAATGGGAATAAAGCCATGAGAGTTTTCAGTAAATTGAATTTGCTTAGGTAGATTGTAACAACTCTCTTGTGAGGGCATTTGAGCCATCATGTTTAATTTGGGCCATTTAACAAAGATCCTGGGAGTGGAGAATTGAAAAGAGTGGGACTTACAGGCTTTCTCTGGGATTGTGTTGTTTTCTGCCTACTCCATGTCCAGAGTGCGAGGAAATAAATCTAGGATGTTCTTAATGTTTGGAGGCTCAGTTTCTTAAGACGTTGGCTCTTTAGTTGCTTATTTGTGTAGTCCCTGTGAAAATAAGTGTGCCTTTTTAATTTAGCTGAGTGTTATTTCATTGTCTTTGATTCTTTTCACCTGAGTATGGTTGGGTTTGCAGAAGCCCAAGTGTACAACCTGTTAGCCTCTTTGGTCATGCAGAAAGGCCCTTCACCACCATTGGGACCTAACAGTACTGATTCTGCTACTGAAGTACTGATTCTGCTACTGATGGTCTCAATAAATCAGTAAGACTGAATTTCTCATCCTATAGCAAATTTACCCTTACACGCAAGACCATTGAAAACACAGCCAGCGCAACATAGATTTTAGACCTACTTTTTATGGTATGTTTATGTCATTTATTTTACCTCTGTTTTCTGGATGTTCTCAAATGAAACATTAGGAGACTTTTCAGGAAAAACAGAAGGCTGTTACATTTTGACTATGAGAACACCTGGGAAGAGTAAGGGTGCATAAGCGAAGCAGCTTATTAAGTGCTTCAGTAAAAGTAAGGGAACTAATTTGTCACACTGCATGACATTCAAAAGAACAAATGCCTCCTAGACTAAAATGCTAAGGAAGGGAACTCTAGGGAGAATGGAAAATTCCAAAGTATATTCATGATAAGAGATGCCTGAATTGTAAAAAGGGATTTTGCTAGGGGGTAAAACCAAGACATTTGTCCTTTCCCTGCATTTTAGTTGTTACCAGCTTGAGTTTCTTGAGGCCCTAGTTTATCATCTCAGATTTCCTAACACTTTTCATGGCATGTAGCTGCAGATTAGTATGAAAAGCACAACTGCGTGCTTCAGTGAGCCTCTACTTGATTCTTAAAATGACAGTGATCTGGAAGGAAGGAATCCCCTCTGTTACCCCAAAGTGCAAAAACCATGAAACTACAAAGTCCCGTGGCAGAAGCTCCATATGGAAGGTGTACTAGCTGTACAGGAGTGAAGCCCATAAACAATTGTGTTAAGTGCTGAAAACGTGGAATTGATGAGCATTTTCAATTTTTTTTTAGGAGGCCAGGTATTTGGATGAATAGTTTGGAAAGACAGTGAGCATTGTTTAAATGCCCCCCAAATTGCACACACAGAGTCCTAGCAGCAGCAACTTGCCCTCAGGCACAGGGGCAATGATTAAAGAAGGTTTTCTTAGATTGTAGTGTTATGGAATCATTATAATCAAATCTACCTGAGGAACCTACCCACCAGAAGACAAAAAAAACAAGTAAGATATCACTGAAATCTTTTTTTTTTCCCAAATAAAAATGCGTATCTCATAGATTCCATATGGTGAGAAGGGAGATGATTTGAGAGATTATCTCAATAGTACATATTAACTGCTCTTACGAGATGATCGAGTGATCTTATTCAGTATATTATTAAATTTCTCTATCTGTAAAATATAATTAATAGCTTACCATTTTCATGGTAATGTTTAAAGATAATGAAAAAATGATAATCACAAAATGTTTTCAGATACTCTAAAGCAGAGGTCAACAAATTATAGCCATCAGCTAAATTCTGCCTGATACTTGCTTTGGTAAATAAAGTTTTCTTGAAACTCAGCCATACTTATTCATTAACATATTCTCTATGGGTCCTTTCCCAAGAGCTGAGTGCTTGTGACATAGAACATGTGTCCCACAAAACAGAAAATATTGCTCTCTGGCTCTTTACATTAAAATGTCAATAAATCTTGCTTTTAGGAAAAACCATCTTAGTTTTAGAAGCTGAACAAATGGACTTATGTACACTCTTACATAAATGACCAAGTTACGTGCATTTCTAAGCCTCTTAACATATATATAGGCCTACGGAGCTCTTAATCAAGGCATGAGAGACAGTATGTTCAGGCAAAAAGGCTTGAGCTGAGTAAAGTTCAGATAGACACTGCCAATGACTGTTCCTGGGCAATGGTCTGATAGAGGCTGTCAACTCATAGTATCTATAAGGGGCACACATGAGTACGGAGCAGTGGTTGAGAAGGACTTGACCTTGGTTAGAGGATAAGCTCTCATTAGCCAACAATGAGATGTGTTGACTAGAAAAACAAATTCTGAGACTGCACCAATATCTTGAATGAGGAAAGGGATACTTCAGCTTCATTCTGTGCAGATCAGTCCACAACTGGAAGACTTTGTTTAGTTTTCTGCCCCCACATTTTTAAGGAATGAAAGACTGTTGAAGCTCATGGAAACTGAAGAGAGTGACCAGGTCTGGCTGGGGACTTGAAACTACACTATATAAAGAATGGCACAAGAAATTGCTATGTTTGACTCAAGAAAAGAAGACTCAGGGGTACACACAAGCCATGTTCAAATATTTGAAGAGCTTACTATTCAGCATAGCTCTTTGGTACAGTTCGAACCAAGGATAAGATGGCTTCCTGGTTAGGACGTGTACAGATGGAGTTGGTGGTCACAGGAGTTTAGAATGTTGTGGAGATGATTCAAGTATCAGTTGGGTGGTTGGATTGGTGACTTCGAGAATTCCTTCAAACCCTAAAATATTTGATTCTGTGAAAAAGATGACCTCAAGGGAGCACTTACAAGTGTTTTCCAAGCTGATTCATTCCCAGACATGTTGGTATAAAGGAGAGGTAGTGATTTTCCAGTTCTAGAAATATAAATATTTAGGTTTCAGTGTATGCCCAAGCTAGCACACCTCAAGGTGGAGCCCGAACTCAAGTTGAGATTTTGAGAACATCACTAGTTCCAGTCACTTATTTTTCTATTTGAACTGAGATTTAAAAGCATGTTTTGATTCCCCATCTGAATATCCTGCTTCTTCTACAGGCTGTTGATAAGCTGAGGGAAACTTAGAAAGCTCATGTACTTTCTGTTGCTCTCTTCTATCTGTAACAAATGTTTAGTAGTTTTCCAATTACTGCAGCAATGTTAAGAGGATCTGTGGTAACGTAATTGCAAAGTGCTCAGGAATTCTTTAAAGGAAGCAGGCTTAATCTTTGATTATCATCTTGATTACCAACTATGGCAATAGCCTACTCCATTGATATCTTCTTATTACTTTTCATTTTTGCTAATAAAAGAGGCTACTAGTTACATATGATTTTAGCTCTCTGGAAATAAGTGACAAAAATGAATAAATCATGTACTACTGTAGGTTGGCAGGCAGGGCACAAGATTACTAAATTTTGCACCATGAAAAAGAGAAAGCTAGAAAGAAATCAATCTTTGGCAAAGCTTGAGTAATCCATCCAATGCAATTCAAATGCATGGGTTAGTGAACCTCTGTGCAAGAGTTCTTATAACCTAGTTAGGTTTAATTAGGACACAGGGACAACCAAAAGGGGAAAAAATAAGAATGTTGAACAGCAGCCAAGTGAATTTTAGAATAATGAAGAAATATCAAATAGGGTAAATCAATGGAGTTAGAGGACACAATGGGGAAATGAAAAACATTCAAAGATAAATTAATGTAGGCCCAAGGGTTATGCAAGCAATTTACTATAAATATACTAGGGAAAAGAGACAGATGTAGGTGAACAAGGAAGCACAAAATTGGTAATACATTGTTATAAGTAAGAAATGGCATAAAACAAATGGTGTGGCAAAGCAGAAGGTCAGTGAACAAGAAAGAAAAGCATGTAAGAAAAAAATACAGACATTCTTTTGTAGATGACATGCTATTTAGCAAAAGTTTGTGCTATCTCATCAAGCACTATAATGTCCTTGTAAATGTCATGTAAAGTAAATTTGGCCAGGCTTATTTACAGTTATGAAAACTGAGCCTCAACTTCTTCCAAAGTCACGGAAAACAGCAGGTTTTTACCTTTCAACCATATATGGAGAGTTTCAGCCAATATGCCCATTTTAGAGCCAGAAAATTCATGATTCCATTAATTTTTTAATTTACCTATAAAAAAGTAAAGTGCACTAATCTCATGTGTGCAGCTCAATTGACTTTTATGTATGAGTACAGGTTCCTGTAGCTATCTCTGAGATCAAGATACAGAGCATCTCCAGGATCCCTGAAGTTTGCCTTGTGTCTTTCTTGGTGTGTATCTCCCAAATATCACCACTCTTCAGATTTCTAACACCATCAATTTTGCCTGTTCTGGAACTTCTTATAAATGAAATTATACAGTATGTACATTTTTCTGTCTGGCTTCTTTCACTCAACATCATATCCATGAGATTCATCTCATGTTCTTGCCTGTACCAGCAGTCTATTATTAGTCATTGCCTCTATTGCAGGACTGGCAAACTTTTTCCATAAAGGGTCAGGTGGTAAATATGTTAGGCTTTGTGGATAATATGCTCTCTGTTGCAACTACACAATTCTGCCTTTGTAGCACAATAGCAGCCATCCACAATGTGTCAATGATTGAGTATAGCAGCTCTGTTCCAACAAATGTTACTTACTAGGATTTAGTCTTTGGACCATACTTTGCCAATTCCTACTCTATGGTGTTCGTTGTAGGAATACATTACTATTTATCCATTTTCTTGTTGAGGAACATTTGGAGTGTTTTAGTCATTTGCTAAAAAGACTGGGTCATGGAATTTGTATTATGGTATTACCAGGTCATGGAATTGGTATTCTGATTGGGTTTAATAAATACTGTCAAACAGCTTTCCAAAGTGGTTGAACCAATTTATACTCCCAGCAATGGAGTATGAGAGTCTAGATGTACTGCTTCTTTGCTAATATTTAGTATAGCTGGTCTTTTTAATTTTAATTATTCTGCATCTGTCTAAAGGATTCTCTGTATGGTTTTAATTTATATTTCCTTGATAAGCATGATATTGAGCATCTTTCATATATATAAGCATATATACATATATTTAAAGTTATATATATCTTTTATATAAATATATACATGTGTATATATAAAAGTATATGTACATATTTATATAAAAGATGTTTATACTTTATTTATATACATATATATATATTTTCCCAAAAGGGAGTATCCAAATGAGCCATATATATATATATATATAGAGAGAGAGAGAGAGAGAGAGAGAGAGAGAGAGAGAGCGAGCTTGTCCAATGGAGAATTTTTTAATTCACCACTTTTAAATGAGCTATTCATTTTATTATTGATTTGCAGAGGTTCTTTATATATCCTGGAAATAAGCTCCTTATATATATTGCACGTATCTCCTCCCAGTTAATATTTCATTCCTAAGACAAGATAAGCAATTAATCTCATAATTTTTTTTCAATAAGACCCTTTCATTTCATCATTGAAATCAGCACTGAGTGGGTTGTAGCATTAACTAGGACATAAGAAAAACATCTCAGAAGTCCAGGAGCCTGTGGAAAGATCAGTACATTCGAAGACGTGGAATAGGATCCCTTCTCTCCTGAGACTATGGTGATCTTTTATACCTCTAAAGGGAGGCAGAGCATCAGGTTCTCGAAGGAACAGTAACCTTCAGGGAGGAAGGTGAAAGGAACTCATAGACATAGCAGAACCGATATTTGGAACTACATCCCCAAAGCAAAGCCTTTCCTAACTCATTCACCATTCCAACTTCCCTGTGCTAAGCATGGAGGGAAACGAGTGACCTTGATATTGTTATTTATAATCTTCTTTTCAAAAAGAAGCCAATACACATGAACCTCGTTTTTAAATGCCTGGCAGATACCCTGGAACAAGCCAAGAATGTTGTTCAGAATTCTATGTTCTGTGCTACACATTCTCTCTTTAGCTATGTATTCTCCTTCTATTAAGTTATTGCAACATAAAGGTGATTTATTAAGATGAGAAGCAGACATTGCTAAAACAGGAAGAAAAGCAAAAAAGAAATAAATGTTTCCTCAGAACCCACAAAGGAGAACAGATGTCAGCAGAAGCAGATGTATGCTTCTCCGGGGTGAAAGAAAGAATCCTTAATGCAATCAGAATCCCTGTAACATAAGTAACCAAGAAAGTAGAACATCGAAAACTTCACAGAACTTCCGCATGTGATGTTATGCATCCATAAGTACTACCCTAAGCGCACAAACTACCAATGACAAATGCTTTAAAACTATTTTTAAAAGACAGAAAAATGAGAATAAACTTGCAAATATAAGGTTATATGTATCCTCTTTTTAGAATTAGAAACCCATTCAGAAGATTTGCCTTGAGGAAGAAGTTATCAATTCTGTATCCTATTTAACTCAATCAGCTAAATAGCTAATGTCTGCTCTTGACCCACATGTGACAGGATGAATGTTTAATTTCTTCCCAAATTTCAACATGTAAGAGAACACGATGTAAATTTTTTAGGTAAACATCATGAGAAAAGTGACTGAATGAAATAACCAAAGTGTTTTCTTCTAAACCACAATGTCAGGATATCAACATTTAAAAAATGTAAAACTTCTATGTGTCAACCACCAAGATAAAGATACTGGGAAAATATTTGCAGCAAATATGACTTTTAAAAGCATGATACGTTAATTATATAAAAAGCTCCTACATATTGATTTTTCACAATGAGCCCTTTAACAGACAAGTTTTCAACAGTCTTGAACTAACAATTTAGGAAAAAAGTAAAGAGAGTTAGCAAACATCAAAGTAATGTTAAACTTACTAAAAAAAAACAAGATATATCAATTGTCACCAATCAAATTAGCAAATAGTTTTGAAATAAATAATAGGCATGGTGATGCCTGATAAAGATGAAATATGCACAAGCAATTTCATATGTTTGGACTATACATCATATAAGGCCTTCGGGAAGCATTAAGAATATTAATAATATTTATATGTTTTAACATAGCATTTTTAGTTATTTCAATATAATCTCCAGAAATAATCATATAAGTTGACAGTATTTTTAAATAGGTCATAATTTCCAATGACAAAACTAATAATAAACCACATGACCAAGTATAAAGACAACTTAATCATTGTCATCTTCCTCTGAATACATATTTGTCCTTAATTTTAAAAAAATACTTTTTATATTCTATCTGTCCAAATTTTCATGTTTTTTTCTTCCAAATCTCTGTCTTTTGGTCTGTTAGTTAGAAATTCTTTAAAAGCATGTATCATTCTTTTTCAGTGGCCTTTTAATTTTTTTTTTTGAGATGGAGTCTCAGTCTGTCGCCCAGGCTGGAGTGCAGTGGTGCGATCTCAACTCACTGCAACCTCCGCCTCCTGGGTTCAAGCGATTCTCCTGCCTCAGCCTCCCAAGTAGCTACCATGCCCTGCTAATTTTTGTATTTTTGTAGAAATGGGGTTTCACTATGTTGGCCAGGTTGCTCTTGAACTCCTGACTTTGTGATCTGCCCACCTTGGCCTCCCAAAGTGCTGGGATTACAGGCATGAGCCATCGCACCCGGCTGGTCTTTAAATATTTTATCTTGTCCTCCTATCTCTCATTATCATTCAACTATAGAGGCATAATAATATAAAGTATGGCAAATCCATTCAATGAGAAGTGGCTATATAAATTGTATGCAAACCATAAAAAATGATTATGTGTAATATTAAACAGTGATTTCAACAATATCATTAAATGCCTATGCATAGAAGAAGAAGCTAAAAGGAAATACACTAGACTACACCCAATTATTGTGTTTCACTCATGGGACAGTGGGTTTTGTTTTTCTTTCTTCCTTTGAATATTCAAAACTTTTCACATTTCCTTTAATAGGATGTACTTTCTCCAGAATGAAAATGCAAATCATTAAAGTAATTGCTCTCTTCTTCAAAAGATCACTTTACTCACAACCCTCTTTTAAGATTTTTTTTAAGAGTTTCTAGTTTCCTTCCCAACAACTCTGATCAGCAGTTCTCAGAGTCCCACTGTTTACATTCATTCTCTTGTTGTATTGCAGCCAAGCAAATATTTGGTCTGTGCAGCCAGCAGAAAGGTGAGAGCAGATGAGATGATGAATCTAAACGGTTGGATGTTATGAGTCCTCCTGCCTTGTTAGGAGGTACAGGCACCCAGTACATCAGCTAAGCACTTTTCAAGTAGCAAACACTTGGCTGGAGCTCAGCCCTCCTTCTGCTTATTTGCTACTGAGTTCCCCCTTTCTTGATCTTGAAGCCTGTTACAAGATACACGCGGTCTAGATTTTTATCTCATTCCTGTTTCAGGCTTTGAATCTGGCTCAGATCGTCTCGTTTCTGTGGAAACCCCATGGTTGGTAGGCACAAATGACCTTGTCCTGATCATGTATTCATCATCTCCAGTATCCTCACCCTCCTGCATATCTTTGTTCTTGAAGTGAGAAGTAGGTTTTAAAGCCAACCAAGGTTCTACTATTGACATCCTTCTAAGATGCATCTTCTTCAGGTGTCAAATGACGCTGCATTTGTCTGTACACCATCTCCTCAGAAATCTCTTATGTCTTATTGGCATTTACTTTGAGATAGAGAGGGTGGATGGAAAGGTGAAATCTAAAAGGGCATGAGCTTACCCATGATCAAATAGCTCCTAGGTAGCAGGAATAAAAATGTACCCAGTTTCCTGACTCAGGGGTTCCTGATTGCCTGCTTTATGTTTTTTTCAATGATTCTCCATCACTGTTTGTATACGTGTAATTTTTAAAAATTTGTTTAACTTAGTTCATGTTTTTCTAGGAGATGCTAGTCTCTGATAGATCTCCAAAAGTTAAAAAAAAATAAAAGTGATACATACTCTAATTCCTACCTATTCATTGAAAATAAATGGAAAGTGAATTTAACTGCTGTTCACAAGCTTTTTGACAGGCTTTCTCTAAAAGTGACTATTTCTGTAGTTAGCTGAGAAAGCACAACAGGAGGAAAATTTTGCTTTTGATTACAACTCTTTCCTGGGAGGTAATACCACTATGAAATTCTCTTTTTTTCTATGTATTTTTCTTACCTTCTAACCAGGTCACTACTTTTGGGGTAATAATGTGTCTGCAGGAAAATGGAAAATGTGAGCAGAAGGTGAAATTATTTCACTCAATAGATATTTACAGGAACCTATCATGTTGCTATTCGTATTCAAAGAAAAAAATGCCTGATCCCAAGGTGCTTACCATCCTAATAGGAAGGCATGTAAACTCAATAGTGAGATGAGTGAGCAGGTACCATTGTGTGCAGGATTTGGTAGAGGCACAGGGGGAGGAGGATGTGGACATACCTACAGGATGGGACTCCCTACCCGAAGGCTGGAAAGGGAGTAGAGAGGGTACAAGGTAGGAGATAACACTGCAGAGGCCTCATTGAAAAGAGTATTATTAGAAAGATAAGGGAGAACCACGGAGGGCTTTACACAGACACATCCTATGACCGTGACATTGGAAGTAGTTCTTAGTTCCTGGGTTCATCTGATGCTAAACTGTACGTGAACACTAACTCCTTAAGACATACGTTCTTTGGTTTGAGGCCTTACCACATGTTTGGATCATGCTCTTCTGAATTGATAAACAGGCTGTTTAGTGGTATCCATTTATATTTGATACTCTGCTTCAAATATGGCAATTTGATCAACTGAATGCAGTCTTTGAAGCCACAATAAATGTATTTTTTTGCTTAAGTAGATAATGAAAATAGCAAGAGAAATCGATGAATGAAACCACCATTTGGAGGCATCCTTGTTGCATTAAAATGTAAGATGTTTGGAATGAGCTACATGCAGAGGGAGTGACGGTTCACTAAAGAGATAATGTGATAAGTGGCCTTCTTCTCCCTTAGCAATCAATGTTTATTTGTCCTTAGCAATTTTCTTTATTTTCTACTGGGCATACATTTCTCCTTCAAAATAAAATAATCTACTGGAAATGAAATTGATCAATAGGCAAGTCAGAGGATTTTTTTCAAAAATCTACAGATTAATAGGGACAAGTCATTAAGGTGGAATAGATATCCTTATTGTAAATGTATGTATCATCTAAATTCAAGGTAACAGGTTTCCTGTGCATACGTGTGTATAAGAGAGACACACACAGAGAGAGAGAGAGAGAGAGGGAGAGAGACTGAAACAAGGAGGCTTTAATGTATTACAGCAATGGTTCTCAATTTATCAAGCATCAGAAGCAGCAATTGGGCTTGCTAAAGCACAAATTGCTGGACCCATCCCCAGAAATTTTACTTCAGTAGGTCTGGAACAAAACCTGCAGTTTGGCATTAGTTGATCCAGGAACCACATTTTGATATCCACTCTACCAGAGAGCTCTGGACTCATCAATCGTATTTCCCCCTTATACCAGGTAGCCATGATGCTCTTACTAGCATGCAGGGGTGGAGACCTAAAACATCAATGGTTAAATTCATCATTCTTTGTACACCCCTCCCCTTTTGAAATCCCTAATAAAAACTTGCTGGTTTTGTGGCTCAGGGTCGCCATCACTGTCCTACCAATATTTGATGACACCCCTGGAGGCCCAGCTGTAAAATTTCTCTCTTTGTACTCTTTCTCTTTATTTCTCAGACCGGCTGACACTTAGGGGAAATAGAAAAGAACCTGCGTTGAAATATTGGGGGCTGGTTCCCCCGATATAGTTGGATGTAATATTTCTTATTAATTTGTGGAGATTTTATTTATTTTTCATAAAGAATCAAATATTTAGAGCTAACAAGGATTTAAAACAGTATCTGACTTAATCTATTGTCTATGGAAGAAGACAGTCAGGCCCCAACAATTTAATTCACTTTATTAAGGTCCTGTAGATACTTACTGGTGATGCCAGGAGCAAAATGTGTCTATCTCTGAACTCCCTGACCACACAATCTTTGCACTTTGCCACCTGGCTTTTGCAACTTTTAATTTCAGAGTCATTAATAAATGTGTTAGTTATTATACAACTTAGGGTGCCTCATATTAGTGAGACAATTGTTTAAATGCATCTGCCACATTTTTGACATGGTTATAAAGGCAAATTAGCTACCACTACCTGTTATTTATTGAGCACTCACTAAGTGCCTGGTGCTATACTTCACATCCATTAGTCCTGGTTAATCTTTAACTGGCTCTGAGGAACAGGTCACATAGTTCTTACTTTTCTGATGAAGAAACTGAGACTCAGAGAGGTTGCATGGCTTAGTCCAATTCATGCAGCTAGGAAGTGACATTAGGAGGGCAAGCATAAGTTGGGAGATAGCTGAGCCACGCAATGTAGACCCAGTAGTTGGCCCCTCCTCTCCCAAATGAGAATTGACAAAGGTATATGCCTTGGTTGTGTGGTAACAAGGCAGGCCCTTAGGCCAAAAATAACCAGGCAGATTCCACTTGCTGAAACAGGGATACAGTGGAGTAACTTAGGTCTCAGATTTTTTTTTTTTTAAAGATAAATGCTCAAGTCACTGAAATCAGGTTACAAAATCAGAAACTGATTTGCAGAAAGGCTGATATGATGATTAATGATCTGAGTCTGACCTAAGAGCTGGACTGTTTTCCTGGGGCAGGTCAGAGCATCAGGTAGAGGTCAGGTGATTCCAGGTGTTGGGACTATAGGATGGCTGCAGGAACATGGACTTTGTTCCTGAGTTTTGCTAGGTATGGAGCTGAACTTTTGTGCTTCTGTAAGGAGAACACTTTATGTTTCTGTTTTAAAACTGTAGATAATTGCACCATGATGTGTTTTCTGAGCAGGGAAGTTGGGTGAACATTATGACTTGGCTTTCTCACAATTGGGAGTAGTAGTAGGCCACTGCTGTGTAATGTTTTTTTTCCTAAACCTTGAAGAAAAGTGGAAGTAAAAAGAGGAAGTTTAGAAAATGAATAAACTATCTTGCCAGCAGATAAAGTCCAAAATGATCACAGGTTGTCCACACACAATTTTTATTATTTACTTTTTTAATTGTGGCAAATATATTTAATAATATTTTCCATTTTAACCATTTTATTTATGTATGTATATTTTTGAGACAGGGTCTCACTCTGTCACCCAGGCTCCGTCAGTGGCACAAACAGGGTTCACTACAGCCTGAACCCCTCAGGTTCAAGTGATCCTCCCACCTCAGCCTCCCAAGTAGCTGGGACTACAGGTGTGTGCCACCATGCTCAGCTATTTTTATTTTATTTTTTGTAGAGACAAGGTCTCACTGTGTTGCCCAGGCTGGTCTCAAACTCCTGGGCTCACACAATCCTTCTGCCTCAGCTTCCCAAAGTACTGAGATTATAGGCGTGAGCCACTGCACCCAGCCTTCACCATTTTTAAATGCACAATGCAATAGGATTAATTATATTCATAATTTCGTGCAACCATTACCTCTATCTGTTCCAAAATGTTTCATTGACCAAAACAGAAACTCTGTAACCATTAAGCAATAATTCGCCTTTCTTACTTACCCCCAACCCCTGGTAATCTCTATTCTATTTTCTGTCTCTGAATTTGCCTATTCTGAGTACCCCATATAAGTGGAATCATGCAATATTTGTCCTTTTGTGTCATGCTTCTTTCACTTAGCAAAATGTTCTCAAGGTCTATCCATGTCATAGAATGTATCAGAACTTCATTCCTTTTTAGAGCTGTATAATTTTTCATTGTATGTATTTAATATATACCACATTTTGTTTATTAATTCATCTGTTCATGAAGCCTGGAGCTGTTTCTACCTTTTAGCTATTGAGAATAATGGTACTGTGAACATTGGTATACAAGTATCTGGCTGAGTCCCTGCTTTCAATGCTCTGGGGTACATACCTAGGAGTGAAATTGCTGGGTCATATGGTAATTTTATGTTTAACTTTTCATGAAACCACCAAACAGTTTTCCACAGTGACTGTATCATCATACACTCCCACCAGAAATCTACGAGGGTTTCAATTTCTCCACACCCTTGCCAACAGTAATTGTTTCTTAGGATTCTTCCCTGCATTATAGCCATTCTAGCAGGTCCACACATGCTGTCTTCAGCATGCTAAGTTGAAGACACCAAAGCATATGTCTAGTGTCTTAGTTGGTATTTGGGGAGATTATTTTTACTCAAACCAGGGAGAAGGGGAGAACAAGGGTTGAAGAATGTGGTTCATAGACCACTGTAACAAAATAAGAAACCCAGAAATAAAGCAACACACTTACAACTCTCTGAACATCGACAAGGCTGACAAAAACAAGCAATGGAGAAAGGACTCCCTATTAAATAAATGGTGCTGTGATAGTTGGCTAGCCATATGCAGAAGAATGAAACGGTTTCATTCTGCATATGGCTGGCCAACAACCTTTACCTTTCACCATATACAGAAATGAACCCAAGATGGATTAAAGATTTAAGTGTAAGACCTCAAACTCTAAAAATCGTAGAAGAAAACCTAGGAAATATCCTTCTCAACATCAACCTTAGCTAAGAATTTTTGGCTAAATCTCCCAAAGCAATTGCAACAGAAACAAAAATTGACAAGGGGGACCTAATTAAACCATAGAGCTTTTGCACAGCAAAAAACAAAGAAAAAAAAAACCTACTAGAGTAAATAGACAACCTACAGAATGGGAGAAAATATTCTCAAACTATGCATCCAACAAAGGTCTAACATCCAGAATCTAGAAGGAGCTTAAACAAATCAATAAGCAAAAAACAAATAACCCCATTAAAAAAATGGACAAAGGACATAACAGATACTTCTCAAAAGAAGACGTACACACAACCAACAAACTTATGAAAAAATGCTCATCATCACTAATCATCAGAGAAATGCAGATCAAAACCACAATGAGATAGCATCTCACACCAGTCAGGAATGGCCATTATTAAAAAGCCAAAAAACAACAGATGCCGATTGGGCTGCAGAGAAAAGGAAGCACTTATACACTGTCGGTGGGAATGTAAATTGTTTCCGCCTTTGTGGAAAGCAGTTTGGAGTTTTCCCAAAAAAATTTAAAACAGAACTACCATTTGACCCAGCAATTCAATTACTGGGTATACATGCCAAGTGAAATAGATCATTGTATCAAAAAAATGCATACACTCATATGTCCATTGCTGCACTATTCATAATAGCAAATACATAGAATCAACCTACGTGCTCATCAGTGATGGACTGGATAAAGAAGGTGTGGTACATATATACCATGAAATATTATGCAACCATAAAAAAGAATGAAATCATGTCCTTTGCAGCAACACAGATGGAGGTGGAGGACATAATCCAAATGAATTAACACAGGAAGAGAAAACCAAATGCCGTATGTTCTCACTTATATGTGGGAGGTAAACATTGAGCACCCATGGACATAAACCTGGGAACAGTAAACACTGTGAACTAGCAGAGTGGGGAAGGAGGAAAGGGGATAGGGTCAAAAAACTACCTATTGGATACTATGCTTACTACCTGGGTGCGGTATACCCATGTGACAAACTTGCACATGGACTCCAAAATAAAAGTTGAAAAAAAAAAAAAAAAAGAAGCCATTGGCCATCTACAAAATCAACCAACCATAAAATAACATTCTGGATTACCTGCTGTGGGGCTCAAAGTCCTTTAGGTATCATCCTTTCATTTCACACATTAGGGTTATCACCATAGTGTAGTGGAAAGTCTACAAACTTTTCAATCAGGTAACTTTATGACATAGACAACGTGTACATAGACACATTATTTTATGTTTGTGTCATCTTGAAATTCATATATTATATATATGAATATATATTACTAAATATTGGTTTTCTCATTTATATAGCCATTGGGGATAATAGAACAATTTACCTCATTGAAAAACATTTTCAATATAGGAATAAAAAGATACCATCAATGTAAAAAAAAGAATATGGTCATTAGATGCAGTCTATGAGGAGGTCTTCTATCACACTGAGAATCTCTTGTGTTTGGAAACATAACTTGGTCATCTTGGCATCCCCAGCGTGGAGCTCAGTGCTGAAGATGAAGTATTCAACTGTGAGAGATTGAAAGTTGAAGAGTTTATTTAAAAAAAGGTTTTTAGCACTTCAGGAGGCTGAGGTGGGCGGATCACGAGGTCAGGAGATCAAGACCATCCTGGCTAACACGGTGAAACCCTGTCTCTACTAAAAATACAAAAAATTAGCCGGGCTTGGTGGCAGGCCCCTGTAGTCCCAGCTACCCAGGAGGCTGAGGCAGGAGAATGGCATGAACCCGGGAGGCGGAGCTTACAGTGAGCCGAGATCGCACCACTGCACTCCAGCCTAGGTGACAGAGCGAGACTCCGTCTCCAAAAAAAAAAAAAAAAAAAAGGTTTTCTTACTGAGAAATTATTTTAAGATATATGTTCACATAGACCTTTCCAGAAGAAAACTGAAAAGAGGTAAAGGGTAGTCTAACTCACAAATATAAATAGAGAAACACAATGCATATTTACTCAGCAATCTTTTAATATGAGGTCATATTATTGGAATAGGAGTTTACCAGTTGGATTTCGGCATGATTTTTCTTGCACAAAACACAAAGCAGTAACTATAATTTCTGCCTTTAGCTTTTGAAAAACTAAAAGAACTTAAAGATGCTTGCAAGCCAACAAGAGCAGAGTCCCATTTTCCTCCTTCTTTAAATTTCGTATCATTGTCTTACCTTTACCAAGATTTTTCAACCATTCTACTTCACCCAGTCTTTCCAAAGTACTTAATTTTTTTTCTAAATTGATATTTAATGGGTTGCTCAATTTTACAAATAACATAAGAAGGTTTAGGGTCACCGCAACAGATTCTTTGAAACCATAAAATTCAACCCTTGGCTACGATGTTGGTGGGGGATTAAAGAGTAGCCTACCAGCCTCAAGTGGTCAAAATGACATGGACATTCTCACAGGCACTTTAAAGAAAAAAATGACGAGTTGGCTATATTTATGCATGCAGAATTATTTTTATAGAGTTCTATCTTGATTAAAACATAATTTAGTAGATTAAATATGCTATCTTCTTTGAGCAAGCTTTGGAAGACCAAGCTACTAGTAGAATTATACCAGAGTTAGGATACTGCCCTCTGCATACACTCAAATAGCAGGCCAGAATCCCAATAGAAAATGAGCATGCTTAGCTATGTTTCTGTAGTATGGAACTTACGAAGGTTCGATTCTTGATTTCTCATATGAATCAGAGCTCTCTCTCTCCTTTCCAGTGTGACCCAGTTGTATTTTGCATAGGCAGATGGTTTGAAGGAAAATTCCAGATTATTAGCATTTGCACTGGAGCTTGACAATCACCTTTATGAACCTGCTCTTGGAATAGCAGCCTTGGAAGATCCTGGAGTCAATCTCCTTTTATTTCAGATGAAAACTGATGACAGGGAAAGAGCCCAGGAAGAAAGTTTTTATTCTTGGTGCCTTGGGCAACGTGTGTATCCTCCCTCAAAAGAAGGCTTGGAGCAAAATGAACACTTACAGGAAACTGAGGCTCGTATGTTTTATGCAGTGAATCACCGGCATAATTGGAATTCTAACCTCGAAATTTTATTTCCAAATTTGACTGGCTCCACTCCTTATACATCAAATTGATCAAAGCAGAAATTACAGATTCAAATTTATGGTAAAGCTAAGAAAAAGAAAGCAGAACGATGAGTCAGAAGGTAAGAGGCCACGTAACCCAATATTTTTTTAGCATAAAGCATTCACGAATTTTACTGGCACCTCAACTAAAATGATGTTCTTTTAAAATCGTGTCACTTGATTATAAACATCTTGTTTTAAAAATGGAACATATAATCCAACATCCCCCAAATTTCTAGACTAATTCAAACATAAGAGTTGATCTTAATATGGATTTAGGTATTCAACAAATACTTATAGAGTGTCCACTATCGGGCAAACATTGTTCTAGGTGCTGGAGTTACAACAGTGAACAAATAGGCAAAACCTTTACCCTCATGAGGCTTAGAGTCCAGTGGAAAGGAAAAGACCAAAAATAAGATAAGAAAACTTTATGGAAATATATAAACATACATAGGTATGTCTATATAATACACTGTGATATACCTAGTAAGATATATATAGTTTTGAGAGAAAAACATGGCTAACTTGTTTGTGCCTTACCTTGTCATACAGAATTAGAATATTATCCATACTGAATTCCTGGGCCCAGCCCTGGCCAGTGTCTCTGCCATTTTATGGGGTACATTATCTCTGCTGAGCTAAGTAATTGCTAAATCCACACTGGAGGCTGTGTGAGTAGAGAAGTGACACACCAGTTAACAGGGTGAGAAATTAATGCAAATTAATTCTCCACCCTCCCAGCAGACACTGCTCCCACTTTCTTGCCCTTCTCCATCCCCCTGCCAGTTCACAGAGAAAAGTATGAATATTACAAATGATACTCACTTCATGTCTCAGTGACCTAGAAAGGAGTGTGTGCACTAAGGTGCAGCAGTGCTTTAATGACGCTGAGCCCAAAAGCAAGGCAGTGACACAAAGAGGGGAGTGGTGTCACTGAGAGGAAGGCCCAAGCACTTTCCCCTTCTGCACCTCTTCCCAGGAGACAGGGGTGAGTTAAGGCAGCACAAGGTCACTGGGATTGCCTGAAGCTTGACCACAGGCACGAGTGACTTTCCTCTTGGCTGGTACCATCTGTATAGGGGAATAGAAGATTTTTATCATAACAAAGGATATCTCAATAGAGTCAATTAGCCCAGCATGCCTCAGAGAGTTCTGTGATGTGAGTGGTCACTTCTTTGAACTAAAGTTGAATAAAGAAAAAAAGAAAGTGAAATCATTTCAGTTACAAAGAACCTAGCACTGCATTCTATAAGGTTTTATCATTCAGATTTGGAAGGAGACGGGAGCCATGGTGGATGCCGTGAGGTGTCACCAGATCCCTTTGTGGGACTATATCCATCCCCCACCCTCCAGCTGTTCTGAGGATTGGCTGCTCACCTCTGTCCCCTTCTTTAGGGACCTCTGTATCTGGAGAGGCACTTGCACCACACCCCATCCCATAGCTGGTGACCGATTTGTTATCAGAGCTCCTTCATACTAAAGAAAGAGAGACTGAGACTCAAGCTGCTGAAGAGCTTTCCTCAAAGTCTCACAATCTGGTCAGTCGTCAAAGGAGTCTGTCTGACTCCAAATCCATCCTCTCTCCCCTCAATCGTATAGTTGCTTTATTCTCTTCTAGTGCTGTGGAGAAGCAGCCCCAGTTTGCCACTGAATAATAAGCGTCCCCACCATTTCCTTTCCCCATTGTTGTTATAGGGATTCCTAATATGTGTTGCTAAGGCTTCACCTTATATCACCCAGAAGCTCTAACCTGTGGCTTCCTCAAGAGACATTATCCCTGAAAAACGGGTAGAAATTCAGGAAACTGCTTACTCAATTTCTCAGGTGGTGGCGGATGTTTTCTTCCTTATTCTTTGTTTTCTGCTTGGTAAGTCTGTGTGTAGGTGGTTTAATTGTGCTGAACAGATTCTTTCTCTCCTCTGTACAAAATGGGCTTTGGGGGTGGACAGGAGGAGGAAGAGAAAGATGTGAGTTTCACATAAGAGCAGAGGGATCCTTAGCCTGTCAGCTGAGAAACGAGGACTGTGTATTCCTGAGTAGTGCCTCCTGCCTTTCAAGCCTGGAAAGAGAACAGGAGAGGGAGGCATGCTCCCCACCCTGGGATGTTCCCTTTACTGCTACCACTTATTGCTTTACTGGACATCATAAAGATTGCAAGATGGACGGAATTTATTTGGATAAAAAGCAGTGGATGTTGGGTATAAGTAAATTAGCAACAGGTGATAGATTCTGAACATAGGACACCTCTAGATTGTTATGTCAATCCACACATTCCTTGCAATGTCAAGGAAGGAGTAAATTTTCCAGATAAATTAAACAATTAAAAGAGTATCAAAACTTAAAAAATTCATTCCATTTTGTGGAGATCTTTCCATGATCCAACATCTCTTCTCATTAAAATGTATGCAGAGCCAGGCGCGGTGGCTTACGCCTGTAATCCCCACACTTTGGGAGACCGACGCGGGCAGATCACAAGGTCAGGAGATCAAGACCATCCTGGCTAACATGGTGAAACGCCGTCTCTACTAAAAATACAAAAAATTGGCCAGGCGTGGTGGCGGGCGCCTGTAGTCCCAGCTACTCAGGAGGCTGAGGCAGGAGAATCGCTTGAAACTGGGAGGCGGAGCTTGCAGTGATCCGAGATCACGCCACTGCACCCCAGCCTGGGAGACAGAGCAAGACTCTGTCTCAAAAAAAAAAAAAAGTATGCAGGCCAGGTGCAGTGGCTCACACCTGTAATCCCAACACTTTGGGAGGCCAAGGGGGGCAGATCACCTGAGCCCAGGAGTTCGAGACCAGCCTGGCCATCATGGCCATCCCTGTCTTTACTAAAAATACAAAAATTAGCCAGGCATGGTGGTGGGTGCCTGTAATCCCAGCTACTCAGGAGGCTGAGGCAGAATTGTTTGAACCCGGGAGGCGGAGGTTGCAGTGAACCAAGATCGTGCCATCGCACTCCAGCCAGAGAGCAAGACTCTGAAAAAAAAAAAAAGTATGCAGAAAAAATTTTACTTTTTCCTAGTGAAATGACATCCACATTATGATCATCTCATATGTGTTGCCTACTGAAAATACAGCAGCATTCTCCAGGCTGCTGAGGCATGTGATCTACTGCCTGGCACACCAAATGATCCATCACTTTAGTTGATGACAAAGAAAGACTAAGGAATTGCTCCAGATTGAGGGACACTGAGGACACATGGCAATGAAATGGAATACAGGATCCTAGTCTTCATCCTGGGCTAAAGAAAATGGTTGAAAGGATTTGACTGGGTCAGTTGACAAAGTTGGAATTCAGACAGTAGGTTACGTAAAAGTATTGTATCAATGTTCAATTTACTAAAGTTAATAACTGCAGTATGGGTGTGTAAGAGGTTATCCTTGTTCCTAGGAAATACACCCTGAAGTATTAAGGAGTAAAAGGCCACGATGTGTGTAACTAATTCTCAAATAGTGAGAATTATCTCAAAAGTTATATATGTTAACATATGAGTAGCATATATGAATACATTCTCATATATATACTCTCAAATATTATTCTTCAGTAGTATAAGTGATACATATTAGTATATAAGTGGTACATATTAGTATGTAAGTAGTAATGTGTATACTATCTCACATATATATATAAGAGAGAGAGTGACAGCAAGCAGCAGAAACAAATGAGGCAAAATGTTAACAATAGGTGATTTTGGATAAAGAGTATACAAATGTTTTTGTACCATTCTTATAAATTTCTATGAGTTTTGGATTATTTCCCAAAGAAGGAGACAAAAGAGCTTTCTTTAAGCTGCAACGATGAAGTAACAAGACTGGATTTTACATGTGGCACCTAAGAAGCTCTCTCATTATTTATACATATGTATGATATTGCACCTTCACTGACAGACTTGAACATTTCATAAGAAATGAGTTGATACTAGAAATGCTAGGTGAAGATTGCCCAAGTTAAGGCTGAATATAAATCTTCTTGGTATTCCATGAGATTCTGAGACATTTTATGGGAGTTTTGGCAGCATGGGCTGGCTAAGTGTAGCTCAGGGATTACTGGCTTTAAATGTCTTGAGCCAGTGTCAAGTTTGAGTTGAAGGCATTGGCAAGGTGTGGAATAAATGTGAATGGGGATAGAAGAGGATCTTTGGAGAGCTGAGTCGGTAAGTGTACACTGCACGGCATCAGGACAGTGAGCGATGTCCTTGGAAATGGCCTCTTTTTCCAGTATGTCATCATTTGTACAAAGCTTAGATTAAAGCAGGAAACAAGAAATATCTTAAGCTGGAAAAAAAAAAAAATAATAGTAGAGGCAAGTTTGAAGGAAGTAAAAAAAAAAATTGAGACTTATCTTTCCATTTATATAAATCCAATCCTCCCAGCCCCAGCCTTTCCTGTCTCTTCTATTAATGACTAGGGCAGAGGATCTTCCCATGGGGAGCTCCTTTTCTGAGTTAGAGATGTTCAATTTCATCTCCAAGGGGAACTGGTGAAGGTAACAAATAGAGTGGCTATGGAAAACATTAGAGAGCCAAACCCAGATAATAGCAAAATGATGCTCATATGAACTAAGTTTCCTGGTGTATAGAGAAGAAGCTTGTGTGCTGGATTCATATGAAAAATATCCTCTTATACTTGAAGAGAAGACCTCTCATTAGCACAAAAATGAAACCTATCCTCATATTTCACTCCTACCTTCATCTCTCACAATTCACAATTTTATGATTTTTATTAAAAAAAATAGTTTATAGGAAAATACCCACTTGGTCATCAAATAATTTATCTTCCATAGCATTTACTTACCTCAGCATGCTGCAATATTTTACATAGAGGTTGCTTAAATCCACTGCTGAAATGCAGGCAACTCTGGAAGAAAAAAAAATGTGTTAACAGATAAATGGCTCCCTACTTCATGCTAGTTAATCTTTGCAGCAAATAACAGAACAATCTATAAAGTATAGAAAGATTTTGAGTACTTGGAACTTTACTCTCTGAGCTGGCATTTTGCCACATTGGGGATAAAGCCTCAGGTCTTCCTAAAAGCACCATGGAATCCATAATAGCCCAGAGTGTGTGGCTCCTCATTTTTATATGTCATCAGAAAGATGGAATGCCAAGAGTATGTCTGGGGTCTGGGTTAGTACTAGCTCAAGGGAAAGGGTACCACGTAGTCAATCACTTCCCACATATGCCAGATCTCCCCTAAAGATTAGTCAACGTGCCAGTAAAATATGAGCCTGCATTTCCCATGCTATGAGGAGCTCAAGACAAGCAGACTAAATGTTTGTGATGTTGACATATGTTGGGGTGTTGTGATGTATGTACACTTGTATGCAGAGAAAGAGCCTGCCTTAGCCATTATGAGGTACTAACCAAAACTGCCTCATGGGAAAGGGCAACTGAGAGAATGTGAAGGGCTGGTCAACAGCACAGAGAACATTACTGCGCACCTCAGTTGTGCCCTCTGCTGGGGACTCAGTTTTTATATCAGGCAATGAAGTGGTGGGTGAGCCCCAATTTGGTGGTACAGGTCCCTGGTAGAGACATGTAGACACTAAAGTTCAGTGGGCATCAGTTTGCTGAAACCTGTGTTTATAGACACATGATGGTTTAATGTGAGGTGACCCAGGGAATTTGTTGAAACCAAAAATGAAGCCTTATTTTTGGGGATCAGAACAGTTAGACTAAGAGCTCTATGGGAAAACATTCTAAGAAATACACTTGAAACGGTGAGACTCCTCGTGTGTGTGTGTGTGTGTGTGTGTGTGTGTGTGTGTATTTCCACATATATCTATTTTATCCAACTTCAAAACTATTATGAATTCAGTCTTCTTTGCCACAATTAGAGAGGAAACTGTAATTTGAAAGGTTAGCAGATCTGCTACTGTTTCCTAATAGTTTGTATAGTTTCTAATGACCGGAATGCCACCCAGGAGGCCTTTATAGTGGAGCTATGTCACCATAGGAGCGGTCCAAAGTGAATGTTACTTAATCAGAGTCACCGAAGATGAAAAATGTAGTATTTCCTTTGCAAGCTGGTGAGGCTGTAATTTTCAAATGCCGCTAATGTAATGTGGAGTGGGAGGGGGCCGCCATTCCTGACCTCTGTGTTTTATCCTCTGCTTTGAATGGTTTCGGCAAAAATAAAAATTTCTAAGTGGCACTCATAATAACAGAACTTGAGGCAAAGGGATGCTCTTCGAGTGTGCTGTAGCATATGAAAACAGAACCTGGTGAGCATGCGGCATGCCAGAATACGAAAACAGAACGTGGTGAGCGTGCGACATGCCAGAAGGGTTCGCAGTGTCGCTTGGGGTATAGGAGAAATGCCCGTGTGCAAAATTGCTGTTACCCAGTGGGCTAGCCCGACTACAAAGAAAATCACTGAGATAAAGACATTGAAATGCATATGATCATTGTCGTCATGCAGTGAAAGTTCTTTAAATCTAGACCCCTTATCTCTTTCATGGTTTTCAGCAGCTGACTTTGGCTTTTGTCCACAGTTGAACAGGTCCTCCCTGCTTTTAATAGTGAGGTTGAGCTTTTGGCGGAATTCTAGATGTGGGCTTTCACATTAATTCTGTGTTCTGTAGTTTATCTGCTATGTTTTATGCTGGGGGTAAGTCTGTAATAGCTGCAGTCATTGTGAAGCTTATGATATAGTGGGAAAAACAGATATTGAAGATGAAATGACAAGTATGATTACTTTGATGTATGGGAAATTTAGGGTAAACAGGCATATATAAGGACAGGTTGCTAATCTCATTTGGGGAGTGTTATATATCATTGCAGATACAGTTATATAGATTTAAATATACTTGTAGCATATGTACAGTATATGTATACTCATACATGTACATATTTATTTATTAAAGTTGCCTGATTTAGCCAATAAAAGTATAGGATATATAGTTAAATTTGAATTTCAGATAAACTAGAAGTTTTTGGGGATAGGTATGTGCCATACAATATCTGGACATAATTACAATGTGGAGAGTGGTGTTTATCTGAAATTCAAATTTAACAGAGTGTCCTGCATTTTTTTCTGGCAACTCCAATGTATGCATATGTGTGTATGTCTGTGTGTTTTTGCATATGTGTCTGTATGTGTGTGTTAATGGCATTCACAGCAATCTAGATGGGATTGTAGACTATTATTCTAAGTGAAGTAACTCAGGAATGGAAAACCAAACATTGTATGTTCTCACTCATAAGTGGGGGCTAAGCTATGAGGATGCAAAGGCATAAGAATGATACAGTGGACTTTGGAGACTCGGAGGGAAAGGGTGGGAAGGTGGCGAGGGATAAAAAACAACAAATTGTATTTATTGTATACTGCTGGGGTGATGTGTGCATCAAAATCTCACAAATCACCACTAAAGAACTTAGTCATGTAACCAAATATGACCTGTTCCCCAAAAACTTATGAAAATAAAAATTTTAAAGATGAAAAAAAGAATACTTTAACTGAACCATTGAGGACCAGAGATGCTTGTAGTTCTGAAACTCTATACAGAAGCATGTGTTGTGTATCTGTGTATGTGTGTGTGTGTTTGTGTGTGTGTATCTGTAGATGAGTATATTTATATGAGTATGTATTTATGTGTGTATATGTACCCTTCCCACACACACACACATAACCAAGGGCAAATCTAAGAGGAGTATGAGAAGTATTATAGAAAGAAGTATCTAGAAACAAGGCCTTTGGAACTGAGCACTGAAGTTTTATTCTTTTCAAAATAAGAAGCCTGTTTTCCTACCTTCTTTGTGACTGCTCTTCTATTTAAGTCTCTTTTGAACAGAGAGTGGTAAGTACTGGTGTCCCCATGTCCAGTTACAAGCACCTGATCTGCAGATGTCAAAGAAGTTAAAGCCTCCCTGGTCTCTCTCCTTTGCTTCCTTCCCTGTTCTTCCAGCAGTTTCTTCCTAGTTAGGGCTTGTATAAGACCTTTCCCCTTAACCAACCCCAGTAAGAAGCCATTGTGGGCATGGAAATTGGTTTGAAATTCCAAGGACATCACTTGGATTATAAGAATACTTCAGTGCAACCATTGAGGACCAGAGATGCTTGCAGTCCTGAAACTCCATACAAAAGCATGTATTATGGTTTTAAATAATAAAATCGATTGTTTCAAATCATGTGCCATATCTAAACAGTTGATTTTCCTTACATAGGAGTCAGCTTGTACATGCATGTTCACATTATTATTCTCGCTGACTTTGGGATTGTTCCTTAACTCACAAATCCTCTGCTTCCTCATTCATAAAACAGAGTTGCTAAAGTTTCTGCCCCATAGGACTGTCATGAGGATTAAATGAGATAATGCAAATAAAGAACTCAGTGCAATACCTGGAAGATGTAGTAAGAGCTATGAGACTTAGGGGTGTGCAAATGTGGCTCCTGCCACACAGCCTCTAATGCATCAGCCACCATCTCAGAAGTCAATTCAGACATTTCTCACGTGTTCTGAGAAACATGGGGAAGAGCCCATACCAAGGTACTCACATAAAGACTGTAGTTTACGGGTGACTAAGGTTCAGCTTTGGAAGACCAAGGGGAACCCACAGTACCATAGTTAAAAGAAGACTCAGCAGGAATAAGTGTGGGCTTTCCTGAGATATGGCCCAAAGCCAAAACCACTGCATGCTCAGAATGTTTGCTCAGTGTGCTGGGAGCATCTTGGGGCTATGAGAACAAATTTCTCTTTGATAATGACATATTAAAATAGACATCCCTCAATGTTCTTTGTAGTCAAAAGATAGATGGCCTTTGAGACACTTGTCACTAGTGAAATAGATTTTGTCATTATCAGAGGAAGCCGGGCCATACTGCATACCACAATTAACTTGAATAACCTTTTCAGTTTTTTTTTTTTTTCTTAATTAGGGTTTACAGCACAAGAATATCTCTTATAAGAGGGAGGATTTTTTTTAACTAAGAAATTTTTTAAAATTTTTTATTTTGGCTGCAAAAAAATCAAGCTGTACATTTGTGTTTTCAAAGCCATCCTCCTTTTGAAAACCACAAAGCCAAGCGCATGCTATATAAAGATGTTATATTGTAGCTGAACTTCATGTTAACTGTCATTAATCTGTGACTTCCAAGCAAGAAACTAAAGTTTTTAAAGGGTCTTCAAGTGAAGTATGTCCAAAAGTAACAACAGAAAATATCATTTTAAGATGCCGGGTGGTTTCAGACTCTCAACACTGACCTTTTACCTTCAAGGCTGTGTCTTGCATTACATCCACTTCTCCTTAAGGCTACAGTAAACCTGTCAAGTCAGATTGCTGTTTGAGTTGAAACTAACAGGAACAAGCGGAAGAGTTTTACCCAAGTGATTAGTGGATTTCAGACTGCTTGTCAAAACCACTTGGTGTTACGAGAGTTGGCATAACCCCATAAGGCGTTTCTTAAACATGCCTTTATTTGGTTCATTTTCAATTTCTTCCCATAACTGCCACACAACCATATTTGACGGAAAAGGAACTTCAATTTCATGTTTGGAACTTTAACCTCAATTAAATGCAAAGTAGGAAATGCAAAATATTTTTAAAAGAGACACTTATATTGGCTGTTATATTGGCTAATTTGTTTCTGGATTTAGTCAGATGCATGGTAATATGTCCTATCAATGATGGAATAAATATCTCTGCTGGAATAAATATATTTGTTGGCTTCTACCATTCTATAACAAATGATGTCAAAATGTGGGTTTTTTTTAACACATTGATACCATTCTCTTTGGGCCTCATGTATGAATCTACAGGGAGAAAGGAAATTACTAAGGCTGCTAGGACTGTAGGGAAGATGGAATGGGGTGAAAGAATAGAGAGATTTGGGGCCAGTTCCATGGAATACTGTCATCTCTGAGAAACTCTACAGTATTGAGAAAATCCCCCCTCATCTGTAAATTTGCTAGGGCTCCTCCACACACCCAGACCTTAGTCAAAAGCTGCATACTTTAACATAACCTCCACTCCCTGCCAAGCATCATCAAGTTCTCACCTTTAAGAAGGGGAGCTATAACGGTATTAGCCTGCTAGGGCTGCTATAACAAAATACCACAAACTGGGTGTCTTAAACAACAGACATTTATTATAATTCTAGAGACCAGAAGTCCAAGATCAAGGTTCTGGCCAATTCAGTTTCTGGGAAGGGTTCTCCACCTGACTTGCAAACAGCAGTCTTCTCTCTGTGTCCTCACGTGGCAGAGAGAGAGTGAGCTCTCTGGTGTCTCTTCTTATAACAGTGCCAGCTCTATTGAATTAGGAACCCACCCTTATGATCTCATATAACTTTAATTGCCTCCCTGAAGGCCCTATCTCCAAATACAGTCAGATTGAGGATTAGAGCTTCAACATGTGCCTCTTTAGGGGGATACAATTCAGCCCGTAACAATAACTAAGAACAAAAGATAGTATCTGTATTTTGGCAACTTACTATTATGCATCTAGTCTGTAAATGTTTTTCTGTCACCCACAACAAATATACATTTAGCATCAAAATAATGAATAAACAATTTTACCAAGAAACGTAACACTTTAGCAGTGTTAAAAAAAGCTCTATGCCCTGAAGGCCAAATATTTGTAGCTAATGTTTAGCATGTTAAATGTTGACTTGTTTTTAGAATGTTGCTTTTTATGCAGATGTCTTTGCAAGAAAAATAATGTTTTGATTTTAATTGTACCCTATAAAATACTAACCATTGTTATATAGCATGACATGTAGCACTGATCAAATTATATTTCCCACTGATCAAATTATATTTCCCAAAACATAATAAATACAAACAGGTGTTTCAGCTGTTAAGTACTTTTTTTTCTGTTGCCATAATTACAAAGAAATTTCATCCTAGATCTAACAGCTTAGACTCACAACCTATAAGATGGTGGTCACAGGTTGTATATAATGAAAAGGTAATAAAGACACAGGTGAAAGTCCTAATGCAGGTAATGGATTGAAAAGCAGATAAAAGCTCTAATTCAGCCTCTCTGAGCCTTAGTTTTTCTTTTTATGAATAAGTAACTTGGGCTAGGTGATCTTTTAGGACCATTACAGGAATAACCATTCTCTCATCCTAAGAAACGAACTAGGAAGATGATTTGGTAAAATTAGCAAACAGATCTCACTTGGAAAAAAGTAATGAAAATAAGGTCAAATTTCAAGTTATATTAGTGGGAAACAGTCTTCGGATTGTAAGATTATGAACCAGCCTCCCACATGAAATAATATAAGCTGGATTTTAGAAGATATTTTAGATGAAACAAAATCTCAGGCTGTGTCCGTTCTGCCACATGAAATAAACTTGGTGACCCCATCCAGCCTTTTTCCATCTCTGATTGCAATGCATCTGTAATTGAAAAATGTCTTTAGGGAAGTGTACTGTTGAACAGCCTTCTGCCTGAACAACATCATCCTAACACACATCTCATAAGAGATTTCACTGCTCTGACAAGTTACACATCCTAAGTGAAAAACCACAGTGATATTGTTGCTGTTTGCTCAACCCCCTGCCGGAGCTGGGATTCACACCCTGAAGCTGTATTTCATGAGTGAATTCAGATTAAATCTTTGTTCTCTTTCCATCGTATGGCACAGCTGCCTTAAAATTCACCACCACCGACAGACAGAGGACTTCCTCGAGATAATGACCCACAGGAAATTTCTTTCATGAATCAGACAAGCCAGTAGAACCAATCCACCATGGAGAGTTTAGGGCAATGGCATGCCAGGTTGGCATTATAATCTCATTTGCCACATGCTTGTTGAAAAGCCTTTGTGCTGGAAGCTACATTAGACATTTGGGAAGGAGTACCACATTATGCACTTCATCCCGTGTTTGTGAAGAACTTTACTAGGCCTAATATCCTAGCTAAAATCTGCCTTATCTTTCCTTCACGACAGAGAGAAAAGATGGGAAAGTCAAAATATAAATATATTGCTGAGTCATTGACTCTTTTTATTAGTTAATTTGCTAAATTGACCTTGACTCAGCTTCTCTGGATTAGGGTTAAAATGCCTTGTCATCATTTTTGGATCTCTACATCCTGGAATTGTATGGCAGAATGAAAAGAGGTAGACTAGCCTGCATAACCAGCTGCTTGCACCTCCCCATCTTTAGTCACACAATTCCTATGAGCTTCAGTTTCCTCATCTGTAAATTTGGAACAATAACATTCACTCCACGGAGTGATGATGAGGTTTCTGGTGGGCAAGGTAACACAGTGCTTTGGCTTGCATCCTTCTCTACCACTTGTTAACTGGGACACTCTGCTGTGTTTCCTTATCTGTCAAACAGGGATGACTTTTTTAAAGCAGTTCTTTTTCATAGAGTTGTTTGAGGATTAAATGGGTAGACAATATATGTGAAGTATTCTGAACAGTGCTTGGTTCATGGCAAGCCCTCAATAAATGCTACCTCTTATTGGTTGATAGAATGCACCTGTGCTCAATTAATGTTCCCTTCCTCTCCCCTTTTTCTCCTTCATTTGCCCTCCTTGACCACACACAGAAACTGGAAGGCAGAGTTTCTCGTGTGTTAAAAATATTCCAGGTCAGGCGTGGTGGCTTACACCTGTAATCCCAGTACTTTGGGAGGCCAGGGCAGGTGGCTCACCTGAGGTCAGGAGTTCCAGACCACCCTGACCAATATGGTGAAACCCTGTCTTTACTGAACATACAAATTTAGCTGGGTGTGGTGGTGCATGCCTGTAATCCCAGTTACTTGAGAGGCTGAGGCAGGAGAATCACTTGAACCCTGGAGGCAGAGGTTACAGTGAGCTGAGATTGCACCATTACACTCCAGCCTGGGCAACAAGAGCAAAACTCTGTCTAAAAAAAAAAAAAAAAACCACATGTTTCCAGGATCCTTACTTTGAACATTCTTCAGGAATTGCTCTCTGGAAACTTCAAAGTCATGGAGAGCTAAAGCGTTGGAAAAGAATTTCTAAAATAATATGCTGGCTAACTTCAAGGTATTTTAGGTCTATCTCTAACACCAGCCAAGTGACTGGCATTTGTAAGGTGTGGGTCCTGTATAGAGCACATGAGGATATGTAACAAAGAATTATTTTCAAATCTGTTAGCAACTCAGAGTTCATGCCCTATTGCCAATGGCTGTGGAGCTTCATTTTCAACATATGCAGGACAGTAAATCTGCATATTATAGAGGAGACTGTGTTGGAAGAAGAGGCTTGGAATGGTAGTCTATCTTCTTTGTATTCAGTTCAACTAGCTGAAGTCTATTTTAATGGTGTCTCTATTCAAATAAAAGTGTGATGGTGGAGAAAAGAGAGGCTAAGCAACATGGCAGGAATAAAAAAAGACTTTAGGGACATGATAGTTTGCATGGTTGGAGAAAAATTAACTCAATAGATGTTTGAGTTGGCAGATTTGCTAATGTCCTACAGCATTCTTTGTATAGGTGTAGGAGATTATTTGCATTGCTTGGAATTGAAGACTAACAAAGTTGAAATGCTTTTTGAGGTATTATTGTGTCAGTGACAAATGCCAAAATTAGTGGCCACACTGGGTTTGAACCACATGGTGGTGATGTCAGAGGAGAGCGGAGTCCAAGTGGGATGACCAGGGCTTCAATAAAGCCTGGGGTCCCAGTAATGCCAGGAAACAGGCAGCGCAAAAGGCAGAAGCACTTGGCAGTTGACTGATTCTGTTGCAGGACCTAACAAAGTGATTAACATCAAGTAAATGAAGATGCTCCTTGGAAAACTGTAACATTATCAAGGCTGTCAGGGAGGCTGCATGAAGTTAGCACACTGAAACGTGCCCCTCCTGGTTCACTTCCTCAGACAGAATGTTCTGGCTTTGGGTTTTGCTATCAGATGTGATTTGATCTCCAGGCCTCTCACAGGGACAGAGATATCAAGAAGTCAGGGGGTCTGACAGTGATGCATTAGGCAATAGGATGCTGAGGCTGATTATGATGCAGGTGACAGAAATGAATCACCTCCTGAATATGCTGACATTGGCGCTGCGGGAGGAGACAGAGCCAGCGCTCTTGTGATGTCAATAACGAAAAACAGGAAGACAACTCTGCCTGGAACCGTATGTGCCTGAAACTGGGATGCTTAATGTTAGAGGTAACTTGACGATCCAGGCCACTATTATACAGAAAACAAAACACACACCAAAAAATATATATATCTTAACACCTTTGGGGAATACTATTTATGTATTGCCTCTTCTTTTTCACTTTTCCGATCTTATGAGGTATAAATTATGATAAAATTAACAAATATATGTCATGATCACCTAAATACTTGCATTTGGAAGCATATAATAAGCATCAGCTGATCAATAAAATCATCATTAAGATGTCTACATAGCGGCCGGGCATGGTGGCTTACACCTGTAATCCCAGCACTTTTGGAGGTGAAGGCAGGCCGATCACAAGGTCAGGAGTTTGAGACCAGCCTGGCCAATATGGTGAAACCCCATCTCTACTAAAAATACAAAAATTAGCTGGGCGTGGTGGCGGGTGCCTGTAGTCCCAGCTACTCAGGAGGCTGAGGCAGAAGAATCGCTTGAACCTGGGAGGTGGAGGTTGCAGTGAGCCGAGATTGTGCCACTGCGCTCCAGCCTGGGCAACAGAGTGAGTCTCCATCTCAAAAAATAAAAAAAAGATGCCTACATGGCAAATGCTAAATAGGAGAAAAACCTTGATAATTCTCTGAATACTGGGTTCTGAAATGGTAATAGTTTTCTCACTCCCCTGGCATTTATGTATTGCCATGTAGCTCTAGTTTTCTTCAAATGAATTAATGTCCTATCTTTACTCCTCAAATGGATCATAAATTCCTGCAAAACAGGGGCCATTCTAACTTAAAATCCTTTGTAAATTCTCAGTGTTTCCAGCCCACAGTCCTTTGCATGTTTTAGCATATCAAGAACTAAATGAAATCATATTGATATATTTCACTAAATAAAAAGATGTGTAAGTTCTCTAAGATGCTTGTGGTACTCTGTTCTCATGCTGCTGATAAAGACATACCTGAGACTGGGTTATTTATAAAGAAAAAGAGGTTTAATGGACTCACAGTTCCACACGGCTGGGGAAGTCTCACAAACATGGTGAAAGGCAAAAGGCATGTCCTACATGGTGGCAGACAAGAAAGAATGAGAGCCAAGTGAAAAGGGAAACGCCTTATAAAACCATCAGATCTCGTGAGACTTATTCACTACCAAGAGAACAGTATGGGGGAAACAGCCCCCATGATTCAATTATCTCCCACCGGGTCCCTCCCACAACATGTGGCGATTATGGGAGCTACAATTCAAGATGAGATTGGGTGGAGACACAGCTGAACCATATCAGTGCAAGAAAAAGTATGGGTTGTTTAGATAAGGTAATGCTAGAACCTTGAGAAATGTTTGATGTCAGTAACTGGGGAAGTGGGTTAGGTGATGGAGACATCTGTTCAGAATGGCCCCTCAGAGGGATGGGATGGTATTTACGAAGGTGAAGTCAGCAGAGCCCGGGAGTAGGTGAGGAGGAGCCTGGTAAGGCCAAAAGTGTGAGGCCCCTTCGAAGGCCCTAAGAACATGGTTCATTTTCTAGTGCAATAGGAAATCAAACTAGAACTCTCCATGAAAGGTAGAAAATTTAATCCTGTTTTCAACACCTCTGGGCTGATAGCATTAGAGAAAAATCACCAGATTCCTTGATCAGATTATTCTTTTTGAGCAATTGTAATTTCAAATGCCCCAAAAGTGATAGATTAAAAAGGTTTTATAGTTTTATAAATATGACTCACTTATGTTTTATTATTATTTCACTTATAGTGAGTCTTATATTTAGTGAGTCTTATATTTATAAAACTATAAAACCTTTTTAATCTATCACTTTTGGGGCATTTGAAATTACAATTGCTCAAAGTAGGGCCTATATTTATAGAACTAGAATTTGTATTGTTACCTTTAAAAAAAAATACTGACCCAGGTTTTACTAGATTATATGTATCCTGTAAAATCAAAGAAAATAACCATGAAAATTCCAAAGAAAAACTTATATATATAATTATTGTGAGTAGAATCACTGAACGAATACATTTATATTGGTTCTGGAAAGCAATGAGAAGCTTTACACAATTACATTATCTCAAATTATAACTTTCTGTTGTTTTTCAGAGTTTGTAAAAAATAAATGATGTGTCATATTTAATCTTCTTTGTCCTTAGATTCACCATAATAAATATTAAGGTAGTGCATTTATTATAGGGCTTTTCACTTGAAAGACAATACCCATTAATTTTAAACCTTATGTTGGCAGTCCCTCCAACACAGTATTAGAATACTTCTGTCTCTATTCTACATTATGTTTATTGGGACTGGGGAGGCTAACATCACAATTACTTTCAATCTCAGGAATCAGATTCTTCTTTACTTCGAAAATTCTCAACTACTATTAAATCTGTACGTTTCTTCTCTGCTATCTTCTCCATTGTTTCTTCTGGGAATTCTATCAAATACATGTTGGAGCCTCCCAATCCTTACTGCATGTCTGATAACTATTCTTTCATATTTTCTGTTGCTTCATCTCTATGGCTTTTTATTTTTCTTGTATTATAGTTTTTCTGTCACTGGTGTATCTGGAACCAGAGATGGGATGAATTCACTCAGTCATTTTCACCAAAAGTCTCAGCAAAACTACTATATGTTTACCTACTTTATTGTTTAAACATATAACTTTGAAGGAATATCCAATAAATTTACACTTCCCAAGGCACTGAAGAAAATCATTGCTTTGGGTTTTTATTTCTCCTTTTCTAGAAAGGGATAGATTTAAACAACATCTCAAATAAAAAAAGAGGACAAAGAGTCAAAAAGCAACTTCAAATCCTTCTATATACAAAATTCCAGCTTTCTGTAATACATAAATACTTTAAGCTGATAAACAAAAAGGGTAGCTACTCAGTTTAAACCAAAAACAAGTGTGGATAAAAATGTACCTAATCCTCCAGAGAATCAGGGCAGTGCCTAAGAATTATGTGCATTCCACACAATGGGAAATGAATATATTTTCCACATTTTAGAGCTTTAAGATGTGACTGCTTTAGTATGCCAGCCAACGCCTACAAAAGTGTGACAACAAAATACATAAATCAATAAACCATTCCTCTATATACCACATACTTAATCCATTTTGAAGTGGGAGTATTTCACTGTAATAAAAATACGGAGGTATTTTCTTCAATCACTATTCTAATTAGTTCAGGCTTACCTTCTTTTATGGCTCTGTGAAATATCACCAACACATACAATAGTTATGGAAACAATACATCCCATAGATTTGAACTTATAAAAGCCTTGCATGTGAAATTTGTTTCTCAGACAAATGTGAAATTCAGTACCTTTACTGGTTGCACTACATGAGCAGGTTGGAAAAGAAGGTTTTAAAATTCTGTCACTAGAATTAATCATATTCCAATTTTGTATCCTTCACTTCTATAAGCAACCGTATAGAACTCAGTCAGCCTTGTTCAGCATTATATTTTCAATGTGTATATTCAATGAATCTTTCTTTAATAAACATTTATCTCTTAGAAAACACTTTTCTCAATGTATGAGCCACAACATAACTTAATAAACTAAGAACACAAAAGGTATAAATTAAAAATTCAAACCTGACATAGTTTAAATTCAATATTCTTAACCCTGGATCAATCAAATAATAATCTTTTTCATGATAAGAATGAATATTTGGTGACCACAAATAATAGGAAGACATATGTAATGTGATATAAAAACATTTTATCGTGTGCCAAAAGCATCTGTTGCCTGTAAAAATATGTGCTTCCTTGATGCTTATCTGCATTTGGTTTATTCTTTTGAGCTTCTATTTGGTTCTCTAATTTTACCTACACCGTTTCTTAGTCACTGCTAATCAGATTCCAACAAACAGGAGTACAGAAAAATCAAGGGACTTAAGGTTGCACTTGAGGTCTCCAGGCATGTGTCTTTGTATTTGTGAACATCTAGCCCATCTTATTATAGCAAATCTCAAATGGTCATTACGTTTCTTGTGTATTTTTGCAGCCAGTATTGACAGGAGTCAACTTAGAGTTTGTCTGTTTATTTGATGTTTATCTTGTTTAAGAAAATAAGAAGCAAAAACACCAAGAGGCCTATTTGTTAGGGAAGCTTTCCTCTACCAGGTTAGAGCAGGTGAAGGATCCTAGAAAAATTTCCAAGCCTCTTTTATTTCTCTCCTCACCAAAGCACAACTAGAGCAGCTTGGGAAAGTTTATGTCCTGCCTTGCAAAGCAGAGATGTACCTGAACAAATTTCAATCTATTCCACCAGGAGTTTGTGATTGTTCTTTCAGATGGCATCTTCTAAGTCTCATCTTAAGTTTGCCATTTAGCTCTCCATGCTTTGTGACTTCATTTTCTTTTTTGAGAGCAGGGAGAATACGTTCACTTTTCTTTCATTAAAGAGTATTTCAACTGTAAATGATAAATGGCTTTCAGGATCCTGAATATAAAGAGCTATATGAAAACACGGCTAAACTAAACCATGAGTTATCTGGAACACTGGTTTTCAACTGGGACTGATTTTGCCCATCAGAGACGTTTGGCAGTGCCTGGAGACATTACTGATCCTCACATTTGTGTGTAGGGTGCTGCTGGCATCTAGTTGGTAGGGGCCAAACATGCTACAAAACCTCCAAAGCAAAGGACAGAGCAGACAAAGATTCATCAGGCCCCAAATTTCGATAGGGCTGAGGTTGAGAAACCCTGACCTAGAGTTTGTCAAGAACATTTCACAATCCAAATCTTAATCCTTCTTAAGCTCCCTGGAAATTTATATTTATAAAATAATGGGAAACTGAATCATACAAATAGAAAAGCTCGATCAGGAAAATGGTGCTTGGAAATGCTTTTCTATGAGAAGAAATAGATGAGAAGTGAATGAGAATATTCTATTCTTTTGTTGTTCTTGTTTGTGTCTCTTTTTTCTTTCTCATTCTCTCTGTGTCTCTCTAGTGGATGCTATGAAAAATGTGTCCCACATTCACACTACATGCTGCAGACCACATTATTTAATAACGGGAGTCTCAGCAGCCGTCTTCAGTAGTGTTCGTTTAATTTTCTATTAAGATTAGCATATTACTTATGGAGGGGTTTTTTTTGGTATTATATTTCATGATGCTTTGACACGTTGAGGCCTTGCTAATCCTGGAGAGACTACCTCTCCCACGGCTAGCTAATTCCTAAAAATAGCAAATAAGAGCCAGGCACGGCAGCTCACACCTGTAATCCTAGTGTGTTGGGAGGCTGAGGCGAGCAGATCGCTTGAGTCCAGGAGTTTGAGACCAGCCTGGGCAACATGGAGAGAGCCCATCTCTACAAAACATAGAAATATTAGCTGGGTGTAGTGGAATGCACCTGTAGTCCAGCTACTCAGCAGGCTGTGGTGGGAGGATCACTTGAGCCCAGAAGGCAGAGGTTGCAATGAGCTGAGATCGCGCCACTGCATTCCAACCTGGGTGACAGCGTGAGACCCTGTTTCAAAAAAGAAAATAAAAAACAAGATAGTAAACAATTTGCCTGTGTATTTGCCTTTCGTATGCAAACCAACCAGTCCAGAAACCATACTTCCAGTCACCCCCTTTATCTAACTCTCACCAAGCCAGTATTTCTTTACCCTAAATCATCTCATGACCAAGTAACAGATGACTAGAGACACCGCTAGAACCCACTGAAGTTACTCAAATTACCCAACCTTAAGCTTGCTCACTGAACTTACCCTATCTTGTCCATTCTTCCCCAGAAAACCACAATACAGGCTTTTCCAGGCTTTTTCCTTGTCTTTCCTGCCTCCCTGAGAGCCCTGGTGCTTACCCATGTGGCCCTGTCTGAGATACCTGTTCCTAGAGATCTGTGCTCCTTCCTTCATGGCATTCACGTCCATGTCTGCATGCATTACTATACCGCACTAAGACAAATCCTGGGTACATTTAAAAACAATTAGCAACCTTGGGGATTAAAATGAAAGCAAATCTTAACAAACCCATATTTCCGATCTTCCCACTAGCCCTCTGAAGTAAATGTAATCGTTCCCATTTTACAAGGAAGAAACTGAGGTTCATAGGCTGTTAAGTGTCTTGTCCTGAGGTATATGGCTGGTAAATGATTCCAACTTATATCTGTTAAACTCCAAGATACAGTCACTTCTATGAAGTGGACTATGACAAGTGGCATTTGGCTTGCTCACAAGGCAATAGATATCATCTCCAAAGAATAGAATGTATGTGCTCCTTAATTAATGCTTCTTTAATTTTCTAGAATGAATACTCTTTTTTTCCCCCTTAGGTGATGACCATCAGCAGAACTTAGTTACAGAGTAACTGATGTGGGAATATACATGATTGTGGGGAAGGAGCACAGGGCTGGGAATCTGGTGGTTTGGGTTGGAGTTCCAGCTTCCCTGCTGACCAATTACATATCCCTGGGCAAACTGTTGTTCTCTTAGGGGCTTCAACTTGCTCTTCTGTAAGCAGAAAGCCTGAATTATGTTGGTGCAAAAGTAATTGCGATTTACTTTTGCACCAACCTTACATTATTTTTGCACCAACTTCACATTATTTTTACAATTTATTATTTGAACGATCCCATTTGAGATAAATTACCAGCACCTCTGAGACCCAAAGTGTTGTAGAGAACGTAAAATTTATGACATGTCTCTCCAATCCATAGAGATTAGTAGTTTTTACATACTGGTTCATTTTTCTGGCATTACTAGGAGGACATTCATTGTAGGTTGCATTCATTTATTCAATAAGCATTTATTGAGGAACTGCTTGGTGCCAGTTAATTGGTGTGAAAAAGACATCATTCTTGCGTATACAAATAATTTCAAATATTTCTGCAAAAGGCTCTAACAAACATTTTTACAAAGTGTGTTTTTGGGTAAAGCACCTAGTGGCTTAAAACCTCAGGTTCTTCATGTCTGAAGTGGGCGTAAGTGCCTATTTCAGAGTGTTGTTGACAACTAAATAAGACAAAGCATATAAAGCAGTTAGTGTATCAGTAAGCACTCCATAATGTTAGCCCTTATTATAGTTTTCAGAAGGAGGAACAGCTGGCTGCCAAGATTAGTTATGGAAAACTTTTGGAAGGAGATGATATTTGATGTACGTCTTTAAAAAAATAAATAGAAATTCAAGGTGAAAAAGAAGGGAGAAAGAACTCCATGCAGGGAGGCCAGCGTGCACAGAGCACTGAGAGGTGGCTGTTTAGAAACCAAAGTGCAGGGATTTGTCCTTTTTGTTCTTTCTCCTTTTCCTTTTGCTTTAGCGCTAGACACAGGGGCTCCCACCTGTAATCCCAACATGATGGTGGGAGGCCAAGGCAGGAGGATCACTTGAGTTTGAGACAAATGTGGGCAGCAAAGCAAGACTCCCATCTCCCAAAAAAAAAAAAAAAAAAAAAAAAAACAAGCTGGGCCTGGTGATGCTCCCAGCTACTCGAGACGCTGAAGCGGGAGGATCCCTGGATCGCTTGAGCCCAGGAGCTCAAGGCTGCTGTGAGCTATGATCGTGCTACTGCACTCCAGCCTGGGAGATGGAGCAAGACCCTATCTCTAAAAAAACAAACAAACAGACAAAAAACTATTTTTTATTGCTTAATATTTTATTAAGATAACATCATAATTGATATATAATATATATTCATTACATGTATTATTTGTATTTAATTTGTCTATTATGTTTAAAGTTGTAGAATAGGTATGTGTAATATTTTATTAATATTTCCCCTTTCCCATCTGCACAACACTTGTCAAATATCCCAAGATAAATGAATTTCTTTAGGATTCCCTGGCCTCTGCAGACAGTGATTTTCTTAATCTCATTTTTTCTCAAGAAGGAAGAAAAGGCAATAATGTGACTCATGTTGTTTGTTCCCTTCCAGGGCTGTATTCTCCAGTCTTGTGGCTGCCTCTAGTACTTGGTTTGGTTGTTAGAGTGAGCATTATTTAGGCATGGTTTGTAATGGTTCCCTGGAGCTATTTGTGGAAGAGCTTATGTAATAAAATACATAATTATGAACTTGTTAAAAGAGACATTATTTACTCATTTGTCCAACATGGCTCCTTTCAGTCTACCTCATAAGTAAATCTATATTTAGTCAGTGTCATATTGATCTGCAACCAGAGTACACTTTAATGCTCCTGCAGAAATACGCCATAAAAAAAATAGCTTGATAAGAAAAATTCACTGCGGGTCTCATCTCATTTGAAAACGGCAGAAGAAGAAAAATTATACTTTCTTTTCCATTGTTTTCCCTTTTTTTAAGACAATACCAGAAAAATGAACTGTAATACACAGTTCTGATAATATCACTGTAGAGAATCTCTTTATAAATGTCATGCATTTTATGAAATTTAGTGTTAGAAAATAAATGACTAAAGATTACATAATTGTTGGATCTGTGTGTGACCTTAAATGAGTGTTCATTGTACCATTTTTTCTGTAAGTTTAATTTTTAATTTTTATTAATTAATTAATTTATTTATTTACTGAGAAGGGGTCCTGCTCTGTCAACCAGGCTGGAATGCAGTGGCACGAACACAGCTCACTACAGCCCCTCAACATCCAGGGCCCAAGCTATCTTCCCACCTCAGCCTCCTGAGTAGCTGGGACCACAGGCACATGCCACCACGCTGGGCTAATTTTTAAATTTTTTTTAGAGATTGGATCTTGCCATGATTCACAGGCTGGTCTCAAACTCCTGGTATCAAGCAATCCTCCCTCCTTAGTCTCACAAAGTGCTGGGATTACAGGCATGAGCAACCATGCCTAGCTGTATGTTTAATTTTTTTTTTTTTTTTTGAGACAGAGTCTCGCTGTGCCACCCAGGCTGGAGTATAGTGGCACAATCTCAGCTCACTGCAGCCTCTGCCTCCCAGGTTCATGCGATTCTCCCGCCTCAGCCTCCCAAGTAGCTGGGATTACAGGTTTCTGCCACCACGCCCAGCTAATTTTTGTATTTTTAGTAGAGACGGGGTTTCACTATGTTAGCCAGGCTGGTTCCAAACTCCTAACCTCAGGTGATCCACCCGCCTCAGCCTCCGAAAGTGCTGGGATTACAGGCATAAGCCACCGTGCCTGGCAAAAGTTTAACATTTTAAATAACTGTTCCTCAGCACTGCCCATAATTTAGGTAAATACTACTTAGAATTAGATAATTTAAGGTAAAGAATATGTCATATATACATGAAATTGTATTAGAACAGGAGGTAAAAATCAGAGTAAATTAGAATTTGTTTAAAACACAGAGTTAAACACTGTGAGAGCAGAAATTATTTTATAACCACCAATAGTACAAAGCTAAGCTTTCATCTTAAAGTTGTATGTTTGCATGTGAAATCATGCAGAGAATTACTTTAGTACTTAAAGAAAATAAAAACATTATGAATAAATGTTTATTTATTTGGTACTTAAAATCTAAATACCTTAGCACAAGTGGAAAAGCTCTAACTACAAATACCAGGGCATAAAACAAATCCTACATTACAGTTTTAAAATGTTTTACAGCTTAATACTGTTTTATTCATTGAGTCAGAAATTTCCGTGTGAGTACGGGAGTTTACACTTGTAAATCAGAAACCGTCGCAGTTAATTTTTTCACTCTATGGAGCAACCACTTTCGTCTGTGTGGGAGTGTTGGTCTACTGTAGCTGAAACAGACAAGACTAGGCCAGTGGAGACATTAAATGTGGCTGAAAATACCACTGATGTTCAACTTTCCTTCCTATCCTGTACTTATATTCAAAACTGTCATTTGGCTCATGGGTTTGGGTTTTTGTTTTGGGGTTTTGTTTTTTGTTTTGTTTTGTTTTCTGCACAGCCTAGAAATATTAGTAATCTTGCTGCTTCTGTGCCCTAAAATAATACTTTAGTTGCCTAAAATAACAAATGAATCTTTTGAGAAGAGCTTATTTATGTAGCAAGATACTGATTAGGGTATTTATTGGATACAATAACTAAGATTAAGTGCCTGAAGATTTATGTATCAGGAACTTTTCAACTTTGACTCCATCCAAAAATACTATGTCAGTATAAGAACGTAAAGAAAAATGCATTTACCTTTTGTCTCATAGCATAGAAAGCAAAGGTTATTTTTGTCAATTATGAGTAATAAAAAATAAGTTTATTTAAGGTATATATTTACATTTGGAGTGAGAGGATGATAAGAGGAGTCATTTGAAGGGAGTAAGTTAGCTAGAAAAAAACTCAGTGTGCTACTGATAGCACCTGTGCATGGACAGAGGAATTAGTATCATTACCAATTTACAGACAAGGCAATTAAATGAGAGAAGGCTTACGTGGTCTGTCCAAAGTTAAAGAGTTAGTAACTTGTGGAACCAGTATTCATCTTAAGCTTTGGCTTAAAGACCACAAGCTCAGAATCGGTCATTCTCATGGCCCTATTATATACCAACAGAGTTCCTGAAAAAGCCAATGCAATTTCCAGAGAGCAATTTACAATGGGGAGAAGAGTCTAGCCCAATATGGCACATAATTCTGTGAAACATTGGATGTGTAAGAAATTTATCAATATGCTCTTTATATTTTACACCTAGGAGATGTGCACAAATTCTTGGTTAAGGGGGCTAATTAACGATGTCTTGAAGTGAACATTAAATTCTCTCCTACACACATCTCGTTGTCTAAAAAAATCAATGAGGACTTTATTAGCACCCTTTTTTATATCCAATTCTGTAACCTGGGAAGGTGGGTTCTGCCCATCGACTAAACATGGTAGGAAACCTGTTTTCTTATTTGTAAAAATTGACATTAATATCATAGGCCTGTTAGTCCCATACTGAGATGTACCAGCAAACAAACTTATTTTTTTTCAACATCTCAATCTTTATTTTGAACAAGTCATGATTTCTTTTCTTTCATCAATATATATGAGAAGCTTGGCCTGCTATGGTAGTCTGTGACAGCTAAAGCAATCAACCCCTAGCCAAGAGTACTTAACTCTTTTCTTTGTTGAACTGCTCACTGATATGTGGATCTAGGAAAGTCATTTCTCTGAAGCTCATTAGTTTCCAGGGTAACATCTGTATTACATACCACATACAAATATTATTATCATCATTGTTAATTATGTGAAGTAAATAAATTTCCCAACTGTTCTAGGCATTACCTAAAGGACATGGAATCACTGGGGGCATGTAACATTTAAAATTATTGGGTGTCTAAAATTGTTTAAAACCAGGAAAAATATATAGTTCTATTTGCACTTAACTATTTAAAGTGTATCTGCTGCTTGTCACCCATATCTTAACCTTGTCCATTGATGTCAGCCATATTCTTCAAGGTGTTTAAATAGCTTAGAAGCCCTTCAAGTAATCATAATAAGCTAACACACTTTGAGGAAACATGTGCTGATTGCATGATATGTATTATTTCAGTGAATCCTCACACACTTTACAAACTGGACTATCATTATCTCCATTTTAGAAGTGTGGAAATCAAGGCACAGATACGTTAACTATTAAGTCAATGTCAAAACTACTAGGGCCGGGCACGGTGGCTCACGCCTTTCATCCCAGCACTTTGGGAGGCCAAGGTGGGCAGATCACAAGGTCAGGAGTTTGAGACCAGCCTGGCCAACATGGTGAAACCCCGTCTCTACTAAAAATACAAAAATTAGCCGAGCGTGATGGCGGGTGCCTGTAATCCCAGCTACCTGGGAGGCTGAGGCAGGAGAATCACTTGAACCCGGGAGGCAGAGGTTGCAGTGAGCTGAGATCATGCCACTGCACTCCAGCCTGGGTGACATAGCAAGACTGTGTCTCAAAAAACAAACAAACAAACAAACAAAAAATACTAAGTCCTGGAGTCAGGATTGGAGCTGTGCTCTTCTCTTCTCTTTCTCTCTCTAACTTGAAAGGTTTTCTTTGTTTAGAAAGATACAGCATGACTAAGGTCAATAAAAATAACAAAAATAATCATTATAATTATAGGTGATCGTTCTCAATTGGGCAGTTTAAACAGTGTCTTGTAAAATTTTAAAGAAAACCAAGAACTTTATGCACGCTTCTGTCAGTTAGCTTTTGCTACATAACAAAGTACTCCAAACAAAGTGGTTTAGAATAAAACTAACCATTTATTTGTTCATAATTTTTGGGATCAGCTTTTGGGGCTTAAATCAGCTGGGTGGTTCTTCTAGTCCCCACTGTGCTCCCTCATGCCCCTGTGGGTAGCTCTCGGGTTGGCAGAGGGCCACCGGTCTAGGATGGTCTCACCTGGGATGGGACTTGCCTCGGTTCCATGTGTTTTGTCACCCTCCAGCATCCCAGCCCCGGCTCATCCACATGATGGTGGCAAGGTTAGATTGAGCCGAAGCTGTGGAGGTCTCTTGAGACCCACATTTGGAATTGGATGACATCACTTCCACCACTTCCATTGGCTAGATCAATTCACAGGATCATCCCAGCCTCCAGAAGTAAAGAAATAGACTTTACTTCTTGATGGAGATGCTGCAAATTACATTGTAAGGATCATGGTACAGTGAGGGAAGAATGGTGGCCATTTTTGACAGAATAAATACTACCAACTTTAGCTGTGAAATATTTTTAAGAGTTATATGGCAATATACATTTTCTGAAAATCTGTTTTGTTCTATTCACAGGGGTTAGGATGGTATAAGTATTCTTTAATTGCACAAATATCTGTGATTAGAAAAGCCAAAAATATTGTCAGTCTCTTAGGATTTGAGTTTTGGACTGAAGTTATCTAACTGTGAATAAAGATAATCCTGCAGTAATAATTTCATATTTGATTTATGTTTCTCCATAAAGTTACCTCAGGCATTATCCCTGTTAAACCAAATTTAATAGAACTTCAGTTGTTCTGTTCCAAATGCTTGTGCATATGTGGAGAATTCCCCTGTACAGTTGTACTGACTCTCTCACCAAGGGATGTTCGTTCTTTTGTGAGTTTGTTCTAATTGTGTCATTCACTGTATTACCATTAATTAGCAAATTCATCTTTCAACTTCACTCCCATGGGACAGATTCAGTCAGGCTTGGGTAGGTAGGGAATTTAATTAATATATCAACAAATTGAATTTTTTATTAGGTACTTTAGTTTTATCTTTTTTTATCTTGGTATTATATATTAGAAATCTTATTTGAACTGGAGTTACCTAAAGTTGTTTTTATTAGGTAGGCAAAGAATCCAGCTATTTCTCCCCAAAACACTATATGAAATAAAATATGCCATCAATGTTCCTTTTGGGTTATTTTCAAGTTGGCCCTCTATCTATTTACATGGATTGGAAATTTTTTTTCAGATTTAACCTTCCCGTATTGATGGAAGAACTGTTTTATAGTAAATTTATCAATAGTTGAATATATAAACAACCACTATTCATGGGTTAAGAACAAAGGGCATCAGTGTGTGAGAATTCAATTCAATAGGACTAATCTCAAACGCAATTAATGCTCTCATTCTTTCTGTGCCCTTTGGTAGTCTGTTCTCCCAAGGAATTTATTGAAATAGATACACTTAATTAAACTGTTTTCAGCACTTGGGCTAAGACACAATTTAAGGTGTGACATTTCACTTAAAGAAAAAGGAGGAAGTCTATTCTGAATAACTGTTTAAACATTTCAACCTGGCCCCTTTTCTTAAAGATGTGCAAAATTTCAGGTAGTGGAAAATATTTGTCAAGTGTTCTTTCTTCTCCAGCTCCTACTTGTCCACACGTACACACGCTCACGCATGGACACACAGCACACTCATTACTTCTAAAGTTTCCTCACTGTATTGTTGAAAAGTTTTCACAGTATGAACTATTATGCAAAGTAAGCAGATTAGTGCAGTGAATTGGAGTGGTATTTTAGGTTGATAAAAATCAGTTCCACTCCCAGCTTCTAACTGGCTGCATTTTTTTTTCTTGTGAAAATAAAGGGCTTCTCAACATCACCAATCAGTTCTACAATCATCTGCTTCTATGAATTCTAGAATCTGATTTTGTCATGGGCTTTATCTGTCCAGGTTTCCCAATTCATATAACTGTGAGCAGACACACTTGCCCTAAAATAATCATTTCCTTATGTATAATTTTTTTCTATATGCTATGTAAATAAATGTATGATATACATATGAAGCAAAAGGAAATAAAATGTGAAAACAATGTTCCTTCAGTGCTCAGTGACCCTATAACTTGCACAATAGCATAGTTTACACATTGCAATATCCTGACATATGTCTAGACATATTTAACAACAAATATGTCCTGACATATTTACATGGAGGGATCCAAGCTTTCAATAAGAATTACCAGGACTTTAAAGTTACAAAACTAACCACCAATTTATTACATTTCATTACATTGAAGGGAAAAAAATCTGTCCTCAAGAATTTTTGTCTCTTTTTTATGGAAAAGCATCCCCTTTTTGAACAAATAGACACTTATTTTTATATTACATTTTGTGCACAAATTTTAGTTTTATTTTGCTTTCAAACCTAGACTTAATCTGGAAAACATCAAAAAGAAAAGGGGTACATTTAACTTCGTTAATAGTAAGATATAAAATAACCATCAATATTTCCATAATAACCCAAAAAGTGTTATCACCTTACCACACTGATATGAGGCTGCGTATTTCAAATATGTTTTTTAGACGTTAGTTCCTATTCTTTGTCATAAAAGACAAACATGTCAGATATGAATCTGTAGGAAGAGTGAAAAAGGGTCAAATCTTTTCCAAATGTATCTTAATGCTTGTTAAAGTCACTGTTTTATCTTTGTAAGTTCCTGCACTGCATTCCTCATTGTATTCATTTCTCTCTAAGCAAGCTAAGAAATCTTTTGTTTTGTTCTCCCCTTCAAAAGTGTTGACTTCTCCTAAGGTATCAGGTAAGAATAACGCATAATTACCTCCACTGTGACATGGTTATTATTTTACTTTCCCCATTAACACAGAAGGAAACTGAGGAAGAACATGACTTGAATCTAAGTCATAAACTTCAGATCTTGTTGGGATTTTGTTGGTTGGTTTGTTTTGTATTACACCATGAAATACACACAAGAAAGTACTTCACATTGTGCAAAATACTATGTAAATATCAACAGTTATTATTATAAATTTTGAAAAGTTGTCCACATTCTTACTAATTCCTAGTCTCTTACCTTACCTTTTTAAATTAACCAAATTGATATGAGAATCCCAGTCTGAGACTAAATGTGACACATAGAAGACTTCCAAGAGTGTTCAGGCCCCTCAGCTGGCAGGGAACACCAGCATCTGGTCTTTGAAAGTTAGTTATTCACTTCCACGTCTTCTGTTCTGCCAGCTGGTCTCTGGAGCTGGCTCATTCACACATAGTGGTCAGAACCCTAGGACTCCACTTTAAAAAGCCTCAGTTCATAAACTGTGATAAGACCAGCCTTTACTCCACTCCAGCCCAAACAGTCTATAAACTTTAACAGAGAGAAAAGCAAAAATGTTTCAAGTCTTCTCTTTTGTTGTAATTGAGGGTCACTTCATAAGGACCCAGGGAGGTCTCCTCTAAGAAACACAACCTTATGTAGAAGCTGAAGAATTGGGATTTAAAGTCAGAAGATCTGGGTCTCAAACCAGCTTTATCAAACTACTTAAACTCTCTAAGCCTCAGTTTTCTCATCGACAAAATGGAGATATCAGTATGTACCCTGCAGTGCCCCTGTGCACATTATAGACACCAGATATTAAAGTCACTCCATATAGAATAGAAACTACCATTATCACCTTTTGCAAATTCAGAATCTGAGTTTGAATTTTTCTATTGAATGCAGTGATCCACACTTTGTAGAATGAGGGGACAGAATAACAAGTGGGAAACCAATGTGGTCCCAATGTCAGTAAGTACAGAATTCAAATTAGCCAACACTGTGTTTTATTTTATTAGTATTATCTACACCAACACTTTTGTAAACATGAGCATATTGTTATGTTCAATAATGTTCAAAACTTATACCTCTTTCTGAGCCTTAAATCAATGACCTCAGGCATATTTGTATGGAATGTTGTCTCTTTATATCCCATTTCAAAATGGCAGGAGATTGAAACAGGAAGTAAACAGACAATAATAAATGGGAATCTATATGCTAATTGCAGCCCATGGTGAATCCTGGAATGCATCTTTCTTTGAGAGGGCATGACAGCATCCCATTCATCTATACGGCCCCAGCGACAGTTGGGTGATGTAACTACTACAACAGCCTATTAGTTATTCTGTCTCATCATTGTTCAGGAATTTTGAACACTGCCTTCAATGGAAAAATTCAAGCTCAAACTATGAAAAACTGCTATCATCCCCTCTAACAGAACAAAGCATGTCTACTGTATCCTGTGAAACATTAAAAAGAAGCATAAATAAAGCAAGTAGGATCAGTGGTTAAGAGCACAGGCTTCGGCATCAAGGAGACACCAGTTCTGATCTTAGCTCTGCATTAACTTACATTGTATCCTAGAAATGACTTAATCTCTCAAGGCCTTCATTTTCTTATCTGTATAAGGGACATGATACAACTTACCTTGAGGTGTTGTGGAGAGTAAAAGACATATTTGTTAGTGCCAGGCACAATAGCACTTCACCAATATGAGTGGTTATCAGTGGTTGCTATTTAAATATGGGATAATATTTCTTTCTCACTCCATAATTTAAACACAAGCATGTGGTAATGGTTCTATATTGAATTTTAACTCTGATTTGTATTCTATCAGAGAACGTGATAGACACATAAAATGCTCTCATTTCGGGCTGCTGAGATTCCTGAAACTGCTATTTTGTAAGTGAAACTCCAGTGAACTGAAATTGCTTGATAAGATCAAGCAACCCTTCTGACTATGAGAGCCCTTTTCCTCCTGTAAAATGGGAGAAGTTAAGCATTTTAAGGCAGACAGCATAGCTGCAAGATAATTTAAAAGATGGGTAGTTGGTTCTGCTCCTTTACTTCATACAAACCAAAATCAAACTGTCCATTCACATTGTACCCAATGCCCACTTTGGATAAGTGATACAGAAGCAACTGCTTGAGGCTGAATCTTTCATGAGGTGGAAGAGGTAAAAATGGCAGGGTTTGTTTGGGGCTATCAAGACATCACTTCTTTGACAAAGACTTGTAGAATCCCAGTGCACCCCGTTATTCTGCAGCTACAGCTCTCTGCTCTAAGGTGAGCTCGAATCTACTTGTTAAATTGTTTTTTACAGAGTTTGCAACTCTTTCTGATGTGGGCCTTGCAAAAGTTGTGTCCTTTTGGTGACCGTCCTGTACCCCCAGGCTTCTGCACCTGCTGCAGCCCTTGGTAACAACACAGCTTGGCATAAGTTCTACATCTAGAAGCTCAGTGTGCCAGAGGCAAAGATTTTCCTGAGAGACCTTTGATTCCCCAGCCTTTACAGCAGTGGCTCTCAAACTTTACTTTGCATAAGAATCACCTTGGGATACTCTTTAAAAATGCAGATTCCATGGCATTCTCAACCTATTCCAATTCAGTTGGTCTGGGGTAGAATTCTAGACTTCGTATTTTTATAAGCATCACAGTTTATTCTGATGAAGGTGGTTACTCTGGAAGACACCTGGAGAAACGCTATAGTATTTAAAAAATTCCTGATTTCTAAAATATGTGATCATTTAAAAAATGATATGATATAGATGATAAATAGCCTCATAGCCTGAATTGATTCACATATGCTAACATGTGTCAGAAGCATTACTGTGTATTGGTGTCTTTAACTTCCTTTTTCAAATATGTTTGGGGGTGATAGAGTAACCACAACGGCAATAACATGCCCTTTAAAAGAGTCGACTGCTTTTCAAGCAGAGATATAGATATTATACTGAGAGTAAAAGCTCAGGCTTTGGAGAATTGATGAGAGCATTTTCTAGTTATCTGACCCTGATCTGCTATTTCCTCATTTACAAAATGGAGGCGAGGACTTCCTGACTATCAAGGGCCTGTCCCTGGGCCCTGGCACTTTTTAGGTACTCAGTGCTAGTACCCACATGGGTAGTAGGGACAGTTACAAGAGGCACTGCCTCTGTACCAGACACTAGGGGCTCTTTACACCCAACTTTTCCCCATCATTCTGTGCTTGGCAGGCTTAGAAACATATTGATCTGGGAAGTTCTTCACATTATCTGAACTCACAAACTTTTACTTGAAACACTAGATATTAGAACATAATTTCTAATATAAAAGGAAGACACACCAAGCCAGTGCTCATTACAGTTATGTTATCAAGCAAATGGGCTCACTGCCCTGATGTGCACAGAAGCCAATACTATGTGACACCAACTTTTAAGAAAATAAAGGCTTTGTTAGCAAAATTGGTCAGCAAGGAGACAGGAGCAGACACAAATCTGCCTCCCCTGATTTGGGGTCTCGTTTCGGAAGGCAAGAGAAAGGAATGATGGCTTGGCAGGATCTGATTGGAAGACTTTAAATTTTACCATTTCCAGAAAGGTATGTTGAGGCAGATTTTAGACCCTGATTTTCTGGGTCAGTGGATACCTGGCTTCCAAAAGTTTGTCATTCAGGTTCTGATGATGTCCCAGTCTTATTGGTTCCAAGAGGAGGATTCATTGGTTTCAGGTGTTTAATTAGAAGTCAAAGTTTTTTCCATTGCGCATGCCTGAACCACATGACTTCTGGTTTGGGGCTCTGTAATACCTAAAAGATAACTCAACATTTTGTTATCAACAGAGTAGGTCCAGTTTACAGCTAGATTTCTGTACCAATGAGGCAGAGCCACAAAAAGAAGAGTTCAATCACATCAACAGTCAGATGAATTTCCCCTACCATTCTGGAGATGACAGATGGAAAACTATCACCAAACAAACAGGCCCAGCACAACCCCTCTTCCCTGGACACAGGGCCAAGAAAACACTGGCTTGTTCTCACATACGTTCCAAGTCCTCTTCATTCCAAACTACATGAGTACCATCACCCTTCATCATAGGAGTCCAGCTTGTTCAAATCTTCTGTATTGCTTACTAGAGTGAGAAGTGTATGATTGTGGTACCAGATCTGAAGAGGGCAGGATTAGCATTCTTCTGAGGAGGTTCAGGATGGAAATTACATTTGCATTCATTGAAAACCAAAGCACTTCAATATTGGTATAGATAACAAAGGAGAGAGAAACAGAGCCGATCTATTTTTTTTTCCAAAAAGACTCCGTAATACTTTGCTAGACTCTGTAATAAAGTACCACAAACAGAGGGGCTTAAACAACAGAAACTTATTGTCTCATAGTCCTGGAAACTAGAAGTTCAAGATCAAGGCATCAACAAGGGCATGCTCTCTCTAGAGGTAGTAGGGGTCGGTTCTAGGCCTCTCTTCTAGTGATTGGTAGTTCCTTGGTTTATGGCAGCATAACCTGAATATTCACATGGCATTCTTCCCATGTTTGTGTCTGTGTCCACATTTCCTATGTCAATAGGACACTAGTCTTGTTGAATTGGGGGCCCATAATACCCTAATAAGTAATGGCCTCCTTCTACCTAATTATGTCCACATTGACCCTAATTACATTCAGGTCACATTCTAGGAAACTAGGAGTTAGGATTTCAGCATATGAATTGGGGCAGGGGGAGGGCATAATTCAAGCCATAACAGACTCTTATGGGCACATTTATAAGAAGATCGGTTAGGACCCAAAGTTTTGTGTTGTACAGGAAGGTGACTTTAGCCTAAATTTTTATTATTTGTGCAACAACAAGGTGGCTTTAGCCAACAATTTTTTTCAAAACAAGTATTATCTGGTGACTACCATTTCTATAGGCGTTTCTCTGTATGACCCCCATGGAAATGTCTTGTTTTTAAAAGACCTATATCCATAAACAGCTAAATGACTTGCCCTGATGAGTGGGATCATATAATATTCACCACTTAAATGGTCCTGACTTTGTGTAAAGATTGATTCCTGAATATTTTCCCAGAAGTAAACCAATCATTTTAACGTAAGTGATATGTCAGTCTTCTAATGGAGCTAATAAGCAAATGAAACTAATAAAACTGCCCTAACTAAAATTATCAAAATTTACCTTCTTGCAACCATGAGGGAAAAAAGCATCTCTAAGCCAACTTATTTTTCATAGAAATTGACACTTAAATCAGAAATCACTGTAAAATGCTTAGACCTCATATGTAAAAGGCATTACCTGAGATTAAGGGTTAGCGCACTCACATTATGCTCACACCTTGTTCTGTTCACTTGTATATACTGCAGTATGATTGCTTTTCAGTTTTACTTTTACACTAACCTCATATGACAGAATCATGTTTGAATCCTGTGTGTTTGACTTGGAACTCCTTTTTGCCTTCACTGAAGATTTCTGCAAAGCAGATTGTTAAATTCTCAGTTTATCTTTCTGGAAAAAAAATTAGAGTTTTTTGGTACAGACTAACAAGACTTAAGATACTGTGATTAACAAGAGGAAAGCTCCTAAAATAAAGCTCGAAGGCACAAATTTAAATTGGGTAATAGTCAAGGGTATGATTAAAAACTTGCTCATTTGCATTAATTAAACAGCCATTGGATATCATTAATTTATATCAGGAATTAACACCACAGTCTATCAATCAGAAGCAATCTAAATTAAAAGTCAAGAACTTCCTAGTTCTTGACCATGTGTTTTCCTTGTCTAGTGATAGGGTTTTTTTTTTGTTTTTTCTATCCTGTTTTTCTGCCCGATTCTAGTGGCTTAATCTATTCATATCCAGGTTTTTGTCACAAACAAAATGGGGATATTAATTCTCATCCATTACCATTAAGATTAATGAACATGTGAAAGGCTTGGAGACTTGTCATGGTCAGTGTAAGCCTGAGCCTCATTCATGTTTTGGGTCAAATGTGTTCTTCTCAAAATAAATTGAGTGATAAAAGATTGTTCATAAATGTTATAGGAGTTTGGAGTTGTGCCAATTATAATACAAATCTAGATCTCTAAAACATTGGATCTCAGGAAAATATTTGGAGAGAAGTCCCAGATTATATCTTGTAGGAAGCAAAGATCCAAGGATTTGATGTAAGGAAGGGCTTTCTTATTTTTGCTTCTGGAGAACATGTCACTAATCCTAGAGACACATTAGGGAATGACTGGGCTGGCCACTATTTTAAATCAGTTCTAGTTTTCTGACAGCTCTAGTGGGGTATTCTAATTACTCTTCCTTACCTGCATTGATGACTCAAGACTAGGATGATCCTTAGTATTGGAAGGGCAGCTCCCTGGTTAGATTCATCCAAGAAAATCTAATAGAATGAGCCAGGAAAATTCTAGATGTATGTCTCACCTGTGCCTGGATCTCCTTATTCAATAGATATTATGTAACTAGACTATGAATTAAAATCAAGAAGTATCTAACAGAGAAAGTTTTCAAATAAGACATTTTCTAATAGTCCTTCATTTCATCTGCTTCTTAATTCTCTGGCTGAAGGTCCAGTTCATTCTGAGCTCATATTACCAGTGATCTATTCTCCACCTGTGCTCAGCTGCATTCTGACCTGGCATCAGTGCAGCAATGCCTCACCATCTTAGTTATTGCCACTGATGCTTTTTTTAACCCAGGTTAAAGCTCCCATCTTCCATCAAATTCAGAGATAGCCCCTCTAACTGATTAACTCTTCTTTACTGAATATGCTAGGAAACCCTTAAAATGAAGTAAATTTGGGAACCTTTTAAAGAAGAATGGCTATAATTTCCTCTTCTCATTTACCCTGTAATTCCCAAATCCTATTTTTAAAAATGACCACAAAGCTACATAAAGTGTTTTTTAATAGTTTTTAACATGAAAAAAGAAGAAGTGTATATGTTTGTGTCCATGAATACCTAATTGCCTTTGATTCTCCATCTCATGTGTTATGTAAACTCTGGATAAATTGAAAGGATATCCTGTTTTATTAAAAACATTATAGATACTCCATCAATTGGATAAAAATTCTACTTGATAATGAAATAATATGAAGATGCAGAGAATGAAACTGACTTTCCTTGAGGTCATTATAATCTAGAACACTCACTTTTCCTATTTAATCTACACACTAGACACATTGCTGTGAGTTCGATATCATTGTGCTCATTTTACAGGACATAAAATTGAGTCTCACAAAACATAACATACCTAAAATCACATAGCTACCTGGTTATGGAACTTGGATTTGAAACCAGATTTTTCTGGCACTGCCATTCCTTTGCTATTCTGCCAAGATGTTTTTTCCTCCCTGCGTAGCTCCATGAGGATAAAAATGCAAACATCGTTTATTAAATATCTACTGTACACCTCACACACATTATCATATAAATCCTCCACGCACTACAACACAGTTACTGTCATTATCATCTTACACATGAGCAAACTTAGGCTCAGATAGCTGGGGTAGCTTCAACAAACTAAAAAGTAGCACAGCAAGGATGCAATCCCCAGTACAGCAGATCCTCATTATTCATGGATTCTCTATTTGCAAATTCACCTACTCACTAAAATGTATATGTAACCCCAAAATCTGTATTTGCAGAGCTTTTACGGTCATTTGCTGACTTGCACAGAGCAGTGCTAGACATGCATGTTTCAGCTGAGGTTGAACAAGGCAGAGCTCTGCCTTCTTGTTTCGGCTGTCACACTGTCAACAAGTGTCCTTTTTGTGGTCCATTTAGTGCCATTGTTTCTGCATTGATGTGTTTTTGTGGTAATGGCACTGTTTAAAATGGTCCGTAAGTGTAGGGCTGAAGTGCTGTCTCGTGTTCCTAAGTACAACAATGTTGTACTGTGCTGTACTGTGCTGTGTGCAGAAAACATGTGTGTTAGATAAGCTTTGTTCAGGCACGAGTTATAGTGCTGTTGACTGAGTTCAGTTGGAATGAATTATACAGACAGAGTCTTTATTTTTGTATATCATCTTTAAATATATATATATATATATATATATATATCAAATATACAAGGGGACTTCAAAAAGTACATGGAAATAGAATTTAAAATAAAAATATAAAATATAAACTTTATTTCTCAACATAAGTTCCATCAAGGCCAAGACACTTTTGTAACTGATGATACCAGTCATTTAGTCCATCCCTAATAAACTGAGGGTTCTGGGAATTAAACCATGTCCATGCATTTTTTTTACATTATTAAGTGAAGAAAAATGGGTGCCCTTTAAAGATTATTTAAGATTAGGAAACAAAAAGAAGTCAGAAAGACCCAAATCAGAACCATAAGGTGGATGGATGCCTGATAATTTCCCATGGAATCCGTTGCAAAATTGCCCTTGTTTGATGATAGGAATGAGCAGAAACATTGTCCTGGTGGAGAAGGACTCTCTGTTGAAGGTTTTTGGAGCATTTTTTCTGCTAAAGCTTGGCTAACTTTCTCAAAACACCCTCATAATAAGCAGATGTTATTATTCTTTAGTCCTCCAGAAAGTCACCAAGCAAAATGCCTCGAGCATCCCTAAGAACTGTTGCACGACCTTTGTTCTTGACTGGTCCACCTCTGCTGAAACTGAATGACTGCCACCTCTTGGTAGCTATTGCTTTGATTGTGCTTTGTCTTCAGGACCGTACTGGTAAAGGCATGCTTCATCTCCTGTTACAGCTTTTCAGAGAAATGCTTCAGGATCCTGATCACACTTGTTTAAATTTTCCATAGAAAGCTCTACTCTGGTCTGCAGCTCATCTGGACACAATGGTTTTGGCACCCAGGGAGTGTGGGAAGTTTGTCCAACTTTAATTTTTCAGTCAGAATTGTGTAAGCTGAACCAGTTGAGATGTCTAGGGTGTCGGCTGTTCTTTGCCTGTTAATCATTGGCCCTCTTCAATTAGGGCATGAAGAGGGCAAGATTAATTTTTTTCCTCAAAAATCCTTGTGGATGGTCTGCTACTGAGGGCTTCATCAACATCATCTTATGTCTTCTTAAAACCAGTTATGCATTTGTGAACTGCTGATTTCTTTGGAGTATTATCCCCAAAAATGTTTTGTGAAACATCAGGGATTTCAGCCTTCGTCCACCCAAGCTTTACCATAAGTTTGATATTTGTTCTTTCTTCAATGTTGGCAGAATTCACATTACTCTCATACGGACTTTTTTCAAACTGATGTCTTATCCTTCTTAGTGCCTCAAACTATATCCTATTCAGACATATTATAACAAGTTAGTACAAGTTTATTTTGGTGCAAAAAAATTTTGAAATCCACGCAGTGTTTAATAATATGTATTTCCATGAACATTTTGAAGACCCCTTGTATATAAGAATATATACTCTTTAGAGAATATAGATATATGTAAGGTATATATATATGTGTGTGTGTAAAGTATACACATATATATATATATATATAAACTGTATAGTCTTTAAATAGAAATACACATAAAACAAGACTGTGTATTAATCAGCTGATGAAAACGTGACCAGAGGCTTGCAGGAGCCTAAATCTGTATTTCCTCTAGGACCAATGCATCGTTCAGTATTCACTAATCTGGTGTTTGCAGTGACCTTACAGAACATATTACCATACATAAGAATTGGCTGTATTTGTGTTTCCAGTGGGCAAGTTCTTCTACTACCCACTGTCTGGCCTTACATACATTCTGTGAATTCATAATGTTCTGATTTGTGTGATGCACCTTTGCTTTTAATTTATATTCAGATTTCCCATGGGTGACGGTTCCCTCTCCACAGCCCTCCTGCTAACCATCATCACTCACTCAAATGTGACACCACACTGCCACTCTGCATTTTTGCTGAGATGACCAACAAATTCTTACCATCATTATGAGGAAAACACAACAGAGCACACAGTAAAGCAAACTCATCAAATATTTACTTAAATTGATTTAGCTTAGAGCAAGTTTATATACATAAATAATTTTTGCTTAGTGAGAGTCAGATTCAGAAATGAAGATGCAAAATGTGAGACAAAAAGAAGTGCTGGGGGCAGGGATGGGGAGAGATTGGTCAGCGGGCCCAGAGTTACAGTTGGATAGGAGGACTAAGTCCTGGTGCTCTGCTGCACATTAGGATGGCTATAGCTAACAATGTTGTGTTTTTCAAAATAGCTAGAAGAGAGGATTTTGAATGTTTGAATTTCCACAAAGAAACGATAAGTGCTTAAGGTGATGGATAAACTGATTACCCTGATTTTATCAATACACCATGTGTACATGTATTAAAACATTACACTGTACCCCATAAATACAATTTTTTAAAAAAGGTACCTGAGGCTCTTTTCTAAGCATCTTCATTCAGCTATTGAATTCATACTTGGGTCTAAAGAAACAAACACATACATCACAGTGGCCTCCTCTTACTGCATGACGGTTTCTTATCTTCACCATGAACCTTCTGGAATGTAGCCCTTTCTCTGAAGGAGATCACTTCTCTCCTGCAAATTTCTCTGCTGAGAAAAACAATAAATAAATCAGCAAGGATGATACCCTCAACATTGGCAAGGGTGCTGAAGAAGCTGGAAGCCTAAAGGGTTGTACCATCCAGGCCTCCTGGAGCCATTCAGTGACTAGAGTTCTGTGAAAACAATGGCTTGTCTCCAGCCTGCGTGGCCCAAGGAAAGATGCCATGAACCAGCAGTCCCAAGACATGGGCTCCAGCCTGGCTTTACAAGCCACTGATTGTTCTAGGCAAGTCACTGTACCTCTCAGAATCAAACTTCTTCAGCTGTAAAATGGTGGAATTCTCTGCGTGTCTACCTCCAGAGATTGTGTTAATTAGAGGAGATACTAACAACTCACTGTGTAGAGGATTTTGTAGTCAACAAAACATTATTCATACATTATCTCATGTGATACTCACATCTGCATTGCCAGTTAAATATAATTATAATTATAATTGTAGCCATTTCATGAGAAAGTCCTTTCAAACAGAAAGCTACTGCACAAATCCTTGTACTATAAAAGGAAATCAGTGATTTTGAAGGCAGCAAAAAGAAGAGCGTTAGTGTCTGTAATCTATGTAAACCTTACTTCACGTGAAGGAAAAAAATCACTTAAAAAATTCGTACCAGATACACTATTGTCTCTTTTAAATTAAATGGATTATTGCACAAGGTGCCAAGCCAAGGACACTGGGCCTGAAGTTCAGGTCACACTCTGACCACTAGGACATTCACCTGGGTGCCAGGATTTATTCTAAATTGCACAAAGTTGCCATACAGGCCAGTGGGGGAGTAAGCTAATGACTCAAGAAATAATTATTACTGTAACAGCCATGAGATGCATATAGAGTTTGTGTTCCCCACTCTATAATGTGATCTTTTTGTTTTAAAAATGATTTTGTTCTTACTTCAGTCTGGATAGGCTAGGTGATGCAGCAGTAACAAACAACCCCGAGATCTTGGTGGCATATCAGAACAAAGGTTTATTTCTCACTCAAGCTACCTGTCCATCCATGCTGGCTTTTGCTGACTCCATATCTGTTACTCTAGAACCCAGGCTGATGACGTAGACACCATCTTGAACACTGCCAATCACCGAGGTAGAAAGAAAACAATGAAAGAGCCCTGGAGAGTCTCATACCAGCAAGAAAAAGCACTGGGCTGGAATTAACACACGGTATTTCACTCTCAGTTCCTCAGTAGTCCAACTGCAAGGAGTGAGGAAGTACAGTCCAACAACATGCCTGCAAGTGAAGGGAACCAGAAATATTTTGCAGGTAGCACATAGCAGATATGAAAGCATCTTAGGAGTTTTTTCTTACTATAAGCTCATTAATTGTTCCGTGGGACAAGATTGCCAAAACAGCTAATGCCAACTTAAGCTGCATTGTAGAAACATAGAATCTAGAACCAAGGAGGAGACAGTTCTCTTTCTAATGCCTGCTGCACACACACTTATGCAGAGTAATCCTTTAGGGACTGACCTACTCTGAGAGAATGCAGCATTCTCGGTCCTCTGACACCACTGAAATGCTATGAAAAAATGAGGAGGTCCCTTATGATTTGGGGACACTGGAAATGTGCTTTATATATTTTTCACCCTTAACACAAATACATGTATTTATTATTTTTCATTAGTTATGTCAAGAAAAATTGAAACTTTATGAAGAAGAAGATGTTTTTTCATAGTGGGGACCTCATCTGAAAAATAACTATTTCTAGAAATGATATTCTAGAAACTATATTTTAGAAATCTTATGCCTTTACATGAGATTTTTTTTTGTCTTCAGCTAAAATGACAGACTTAAAATATAATAAGGCAGAAGGAGTGTGATATAGCCTTGGTGTCTAAACAGGGGAGACTGTTTCCCAGAAGGTGAAGTTATCCCAGAGTAAAACATCCTGGAAAATGAAGAAGCTTTTATTTTCACCACACACGTACACATAGGCCTAAAGAATATTCTCCACTCCTGGAAAGACCGATGGCCTGAAGCCATCCCATCCTCCAGTGGGGTTTGTTGAATGCCCTCTCCAATACACATATATCCTCTTTGGTTTAAAAAAAAAAAAAAAGTCTAGACAGATGAGTTTAAAATGAGATTTTTCAAAGTGCTGTTAACAAGTGTGGGAGGAGTAACCAGGCAGATATAAATGCTGGCCAATGGGGATTACTTACACAGAATGTGCTGAAAATGAGGAGTGTTTCAAGAATTGTTTCCCTGCTGTATTGTTGGAATGCTAAAGTCTAAATATGGTAATGTGAAACACTATCATATCTGGTGGGAACTGGAATATGCTTTATTTTACAATCCCACAGGGGAAAAATATTTTGGCAGTTGGATGAGAATCTGGGAGAATGAAGATTCATGCTGACATCAGTCCGAATTATGCTCATGAAATGATATTCATCTCAAACACAGATGTGTTTGATACATTGTTATTTAACATACATTTAATTATTCCTTTCATTAACTTTTCCTAATTGTTTCTAATATTATTTGCCTTTGGTGGAATAATCTTGTTCTTTTATTATCTCAGAAAGGCAGGATAGGGAATAATTTGATGAGGTGTAAGCTTACTTTCCAACACACACACAACACCTTGGAGGGCCTGGTTATCAACGGCTATTTTATGTAGAAATATCATGAGAATATTTATTGGTGTTTGTTTCAATTTTGGCATCCAACCATTAATATTTTAATTTCCATTTTGCAGTAGCTGTATTAAGCATAATAACCACTTGAAACGTGTAGCCTGAATAGGAAAGAAACTACAGAAGCCAAGGAGTATTTTAATTACAAACTCCACTTCAGGAAAAATGCCAGCAACAAGAGTATGGTTGTGCAAGTATTTAGGGTAGGGTAGACTGCTGCATGAAAAACGTTTGCAGTTGGGTGATCTCCCCCTGCTCAATAACACAAGGTTAGAAGGATAGCCTCATTGACTTACAAACAACCAGACCTGTGCAACCTTGCAGTTCCACTGCCATGTGAAAAGCAGAGATAAAAAGAGTGCTGGGATAATCCAGGTTAAAAGACTTGAATAAAAAAGATGACAGTAACTCACAAACAGAAAAGCATGACTCTTCATCCCAACTCACTTGAAAATCAACACTTTCACAGAAGGCCTCCAAGACTGGATGGGATCTGTTTCAGGATACATTTGGTGACAGATATTCTATGACCTTTTGTGTGAGAGAGAAGATGCCCAAGTTACTATCAGTGGGAAATGAACAGGAAGCCAGGGATGGTGTGGTAGCAGGAAAAGAACTTGAGATTTGGAGTTGGGCAGACAGATTCGTGGGCTGATTTTGCCTCTGAGTGGCTAGACAATTTGGGGCAGATTATTTAGTTTGTCTGAACCTCCGTTTTTTTAATGGTAAAACCATACTTTTTCCTCATGGGGTCACTGGAAGATTTAAACAAGTTACCATATGTAAAGACTGAAAACACTCAGTACCTTCCCTTCCTTATCTAGAGAAAAGGAATTCTGGAACTGCTCTTCTTATTTTATGTGTGAGAAAACTGGTGACTAGAAATGCCCAAGTCCTGCTCCAGGTCACATGGCTGGATTCCCTGTGCCCAGGGGAGGGCTTTCCCATGACCTCCACCCAGCCCCACAGTGGATCTCACACAAAGAAATGGGAGAAGAACAGATCTAACTGGGACAATCTGAGGACCCTCCCCACCATTGGTGTTAAGATTATGGACTTGGCCATGAACAGTCCCATCAGTCCCATCCTTGACTCCTGACACGTGTGCCAGAGACACTCTCCTCACACTCTAGCATTCTCCAAGTGATACCTGGACCATCAAGCCAGGAGCCACTAATGATCATCTAATCCAAGAAGGGTATCTCCTCAGAACAAAACCCATCAGTCTCAGTAGCTGGGCATCCCTTGGCTAACTACTTAAATTCCCTTGACCTAAATGATCAGACTCATCTCAGAGGATTGTTGAGAGTGTTGCAAAAAATGTACCTAAAAGTGTTCAGCATACAGCCTAGCGTATAAATGCATAGCAGATAATAAATATTATTTTTTGAACTCTTACCATTATTGGAGATGACAGTAAGAATAGGTAACATGTATGAGTGTACTCTGTGCCAGACATCATAATAAGCATCTTTCACTTCAATCTTTCCAACAAGACAATGAGGAAGGTGTTATTTACTCATTTTTCAGGTGAAGAGTCTGAAGCCAGAAAGGGTCAGGCTTGGGGGAAGGGAGACAGGGAGATTCTTCTGGACATTGCCTGGCACATAAGGTAGCACGTAGCTACATTAAAAAGAATGTACAGAAGCCTAGCTGTGTCTCCATAGCCATGTTGCTAAGACTTTGGCTGAATTGTTCACTACTAGACCCCTAGAGCCTAGCACAAGGTTTGGTGTATACTAGATGTTCTGCAAAGTTTCATTAATTTGTTGAGTGAGAAAATAATAAACACTGCCGTGTTCACATCATTATGTTGACCCAACAGACAATCTCAGGGACCCTTGGGCTGGTGTAGTCAATCACAAGGGCTATTTGTAGAGACAGCTCCCCGCTGTGAAGCCAAGGAGAATCCAACCATGAAGAGAGAGGAAATATTACTAAGCAGAAAATTAAAAACGATCCTATTGGCTGTTGGCCTTGGCACTGTTTCTGAAGAAGCAAGTTCAGAAACATTTGGCAGTCCGTGTCATCGCCTCTCATAAACCCCAAGAATAAGGAAGGCATCAGAAATAAATTTTTATTTTCTGATTAATTTTCTATAGAAAGGTTTTTGCCCACCAACAAGATACAAAGGGCAACTTAAAAGGCATGAGGTTATTAAAAATCAATGCTAAATGTTGTCATCAGAGGGTTTGCTTATTTTGCTGTTATTAAAAATTCACACAAATTGGGCGAAACATTTTCAGCCTGAAAGAGATCTCGGAAAATGGCTTTCTTATCATTAAAATGCAAGCTAAGCAGAGTGATAGCAAATGATCTTTTCCTATGATCAGTTTTTCCTAATCTTGGGGTCAGAAAAATAAATGTCAGAGGAAATAATAGACTTTATTTAATAAAATAAAATAAAAACAAAATGACCTGGCTATTAAAATGAAAACACAAAAAAAATGTCTGCTTGTGACTATGTGAATAACTGAAGCTTCGTTTTAATAAAAATTTTTAAAAAGTTTTTCGACTCTTTTATTCTGATCAAAAAAGAAAAAGAAAAAGAAAAATCCCAAAGGTCCAAATCGCAACTCTATTTATCTATTGTAAACCAACAAGAGCCGACCATGTTGAGAGAGAAGACAGGAGAAGTGTTAGCTGTGGTGAATAGAGAATCCTTTAAAACAACACCGAAAAATATATTTTCTAAGAAAGCAAAGATCTCTGTTGCAGACATGTTTCTTAACCAAGATATAGCAATAGCTTCTTTAAAATCTACTTCTCATGTACTGACTAACCCATTCATTCCTAAAAAGTATTCCTTTCATATGACCATGTTTAGCTTAGTTCTCACTTTAAATTTAAACAAGGACTAATGGTACTCCAAACTATTTGCTTTCTTTCAGTCTAACCCACTCCTTAAGGAAACGAGCAGGAGAGACATGTCCTGCAATGCCATGGCACGTGCGCACACCCCAGAACACGGAGCAGTGCTTTCATGGTCGCCTGCCACGTCACACACTGGCACTGACAGAAATAGTAACAACACACCCTCTTTGAGACAGTGATTGCTTTAGATTTTTATACAACTTGTTTAAATAGAGGAAATCTAAATTTTTACCAAAGCAATTGCCCCCCTTCAGGAGGTGGGTTTTTTTTGGGGGGGTGGGGCAGGGTGTCAAAGAATGTTTAGTTCAGTACCTTTTCTAGAAGCCAGTACAGCTAAATCTATAACTTTCCTATTTTACATATTTGGTAATTAAAAACCAAGTGTGAAGAGCTTATGGATTTTATTCAACGATGACATATTTTTTTAGATTCTGTAATGGCCCATAAATTTGCATTAATGACCACCTGTTCCAGAAACCTTGGAAACAGGAGGCTGGAAGAACATCCGTGAGTTTTTATGTGTCTCGGATACCTGACTCTGGGCCAAGGTGGAGGCCTTGGAGGAGTAGAAAGGACTCTAGTGACTGGCTGATTGTTACCATTTTTGGCCAAAAGAATAAGTCAGGCACCAGAATGTGTAACCAGGTAATGTAATTATGGTTAATGTAAATGTCACATTTTAAATCCTGTAGGAATTCACAATAGTTCAGGTTTTATAACTTTTTTTTTTTTTTTTTTTTTTTTTTGGTGGGACCAGGAAACATGGAACTGACTTGCACGGGAGGTCAGACTGGCTTAATTTGTATTTCCTTTCAAAGTTGTGTGAGATACAAATATGCACCACAATGTACCCATCACTGTCTTCTTAAAAACTTGTAGGGAAACAAAAATATGAGAAATTGCATCATATTTAAAAGCGCTAGAGGAACTGACTGTATAAAGGAAATTTTTTTGGATGGAGAGAATTATGTAAAGCCCAGCTCTAATGTAGATCTAAAAACAAACAAACAACAATAACAACAAAAAAGACAGGCCTAAGAGGTGCTAAAAAATTGGGAGCCATTAATCTTATTGTCAATAAAGAAGTAACTCATAAGCAAATAGCTCCTAATTTATCTCTTTTCTATGTTTAACCCATTAATACCATCCCCCATTATCTGCTCTTTCACTTTTTTGGTTTCAGTTACCCACAGCCAACTATAGCTTGAAAATATTAAATGGAAAATTCCAGAAATAAACAATGCATACGTTTTAAGTTTCCCACTGTTCTGAATATTGCAGTGAAATCTGGCACCATCCCATTCAGTCCCACGAGGGACATGAATCATCTCTTTGTCCAGCGTCTCCACACTGTCTTCCCTCCCCTGGTGTGAGTCACTTGGTAGCCGCCTTGATTTTCAGATTCGTTGTTTTGGTGTTGAGGTGCTTATGTTCAAGGAACCCTTATATTTCTTAATAATGACCCAAAGGTACAAGAGGAGTGATTTTGGTTTATTGTTATAATTGTTGTATTTTATTCTTAGTTCTTGTTGTTAATCTCTTACTGTGCCTAATGTACATATTATACTTTCTCATAGTTATATATGTACAGAAAAAAACATAGCATATATAGGATTTGGTACTATCCACAGTTTCAGGCATATGCTGAGGGTCTTCGAACATACCCCCCAGGGCTAAGGGGGGACTACTGTAACAGTACGTCTTCTAGCAGAGGACTAAATTTTAGAACAACTGGAAGCACTGGCATTTGAAGTATGAGAAATAGTCAGGGCGAGGTGTTTATTTGTAGGGCAGTAACTCTACTAGATCAAAACCATGGCCTACATAATCTTATTTAGTCACACCTCATTTCCCCTGCAATGCTGGGAGACAGAAGAGACATCTGGGGAAACCGAGGCTCAGATAGGTGATTCAAAGCCTAAATGCTAAAGCCAGTATTAAACCTTATTCTAAAAATCATTCCATTTATCCTTCTGAAGTTTCTGTGAGAAAAGGGTAAGGATGTACTGTGAACTCAGAAGTATTCCATGTTTACAGGTATAACTAAATTCATTTTTATTGTATCTGTTGTATTAATACTAGGGTATCAATAGGCACAAAATTCTCATGGAATCAGACACCAGACCACCTCATGATCACTGGAAGATGTTTCTTTTCTACATGTAATACTGAAGCTAAAAATTAGTTTCTGCTACTGAAAATATGTCTCTGTTGAACAAAAGGAGGCCGTTCTTTTGTTTGCTTTTTTTTTTTTTTTGCAATATCACTTTACTGTGACCCAAGAACTTAAAAAAACAAGTTAATATTATCTTGTCATTCTGATATGTCCAGATAGTTAGATCTCTTTAAAGAACTTCTTGGACCCTTAAAGCTTGTTTTATGAACTATGGAATAAAAATTCTGGTATTGACCTATTAACTCTTTTTTTCCAGTGTTTCAGGAAGTTTCTCTTCCTCCCAGGAATTAACAGGCTATCAACCAGACGCAATAGAAATAAGGATTTTGTGGACAAAAGCTGTGTGTTTTAAAAGTCAGCATATACCACAACATAGATAAATCTTGAGGGCATTATTCTAAGTGATATAAGCAAATCACAAAAAGACAAATACTGCATAATTCCACTTATATGAGTTATGTAAAGTAGTCAAACTCATAGAGACAGTCAAATGGTAGTTGCCAGGAGGTTGGGGAAAAGGGAAATGAGTTGTTCAATGCATAGAGCCTTTTAGTCATGCAAGATGGAAAGTTCTAGAGATCTGTACAGCAATGTGCATAGAGTTAACAAGGCTGTACTGTATGCTTAAAATTGTTAAGGGAGTAAATTTACGTTGGATATTTTTCACCACAATAAGTTAAAAAAAGAAAGACAGCATGATAAATCCTCAGGATACCTGGGCACACCTTCTGAGAACAATGTTGAACTGGAGATCAAAGAGTGAGCTATAAAGCACTACACTCCAGTGGTTCTGATATTTCAAGACCATTTTGAACTCACATCAGGTATAATGAACCAAGGACGGAATTTTTTAACAATCTCTGGGAGCGTCTCTCACAGTTCAACAGGACATTTCAGAATATCCATTCCACAAGCATTCTCCAAAAAAAAGAAAAAAGTACTAACTTTGATTTGTTGCTAAATGCCTACCATCCTCATTGAGCGGCCTTACTTTACCAGGGCCAATTGATCCCTAAGGCTCTGCAGTGTTCCTAGGGAACCTTGATAAACATTATTACCTTGAGCCACAGGGGACATACAAATGAGAAACACTAATTTCTATTTGCAAGAAACTCTGATTAGCAAATGAGGTAGTAGAGTACACATGGATATTTCCTGATTATTTCTCTACCCTATGCCAAAAAATTTTCTGGGACACCAAGACTCAAAAACTTAAATTTACATATTCAAGCTCTCTGAAAAATGTTATACAGCATCCTACCTCCTAATGATTCTTTGAAAATCTACACTGGTCCTTCAACTCTTTGGGTAAAATTGAATCCTTGGGAGAAAGCAGTGATAGTGGCACACAATCATATTAAAACATGTAGAACCAGTCAATTAGTTGCAGATTTGAGATGTTAATAAGATCAGAGATTCGCTGAGAATATTGAAGCTAGAAGACACCTTTGAGGTCACCTTGTCCAATGTCTCCATTACACAGGTGACGAAACTGAGACCCTGAGAACTCTTCTTGTCCAGTATTAATAACAACTAAAGAAGGGATTAATTTCTGCCAAAGTGTTTACGTTAGCTCAACTGTAGTAGCCCCTGGCTGCTTCTTATTAAACTATTAGTTTGGCCTGAAATTTTTCTTGGTTCCTGTTTATGGGGGAGTTTAATAACTGCTATCTGCAGTAATAAGAGATATAATAATGTTTATCTTCTTATTTCCTCTGAGGATCTTGGAATGTGTTTCATCATTAATTAAAGAATCCTCTGAGTCCCCCTATTAGATAAATATTATTAGCCCCATTTATAAAGAAAATGAAATTCTGAGAGATTAGTTGACGGAGCAGCAGCATACCCTGAGTTAATGTTTACAGTGGATGTTCTATAAACCTGTAATCAGCAGGAACTTTGTGATTTCCTCTGCAAGTATTTTAGTCCTTGAACTAAAACTCAGAAGTCGATATTCAGCTATTGCTTTGGACAAGAATTGTGTTAAGAGACAGGAACTAAATATTAAGACTAGGGGGCTTCCAGGTGTATGAGACAGTGCCTGTTTTCAGAACATGTAGAGACATCAAGACAATTGCATAAAATGCTAAAATATCAGGTAAAAATCTGTATTCTAAAAGAAATGCTATGAAGATTGAAGGGAGTAAGAATATAAACCAAGGTGAGGCGATCAGGGAAAACTTTAAAATGAAAGTAACTTTGAGCTGGTTATTTAAAGATACAAAATATACCAGTGGTTAGATTTTGGGGCATTCTTTCATTCATTCTACAAGTATTTCCTTTATTTTCACTTCTTCCTTCTGTAAGTATTTCCTGAGAACATACTACAGGGTGTCGTCTAAACTCTGAGGTAGAAAAAGTGAGGCAGAGAAGGCAAGAATGGAGACAGAGTTCCTCTAACATCCTTGCTTTCCCCCAGGGATATGCAAAGAAAAGCAGAAAGCTTTTTTTTTTTTTTCTCCTGAAAATTTTGGGCATGTAAATAGCCTCAGGCATGTCAAAAACTAGTGAAAAATGAAACTTGACAAGAAGGTTGGAAGCACCTTGTTCACAGGCCTTAAAGGCAAGGAGTCAAGTCATATTGCTCCAAGAGTAATAAACAGGAGGTTAAAAGGACAGGAAACAAGATGCAAGAAGTTAGTGGTTGGCTTTGCTGCCTGGGTAGCAGGATGAGAACTTGTTCCATTATCAGCTGCAGAGGGGCAGGACAAGAAGTGAGCTGAGGTAGAAAAAGACTACAGAAATGGATTAAAATGGAATTGGTACAGAGAAGAGCACTAGGAAAAAGAACCCAATGAATGAAGCAAGGCTTTTCAAGTGCCTGTTTTTTCTTCTTTCCCCCTTTCTTCCTCCCTTCCTTCCTTCTTTCTTTTCTCCATCCTTCCCTTCCTTTCTTCCTTCTCCTCTTCCTTCCATTCTTCCCACCTGTAAATACTTACTGAGTGCCTCCTTTATGACAACTACACCTGTGAAAAACAGCAGATCTTAGACAACAAATAAACAGATAAATAATTAACACATTCAACAGCGGTAAGGTCTCTTTGTAGGTGGGTGGCAGCTTGGATTGGATAGGTAGCAAGGAGCTTTCTGAGAAGGTGATAGCTAAGTGAAATGTAAATGACAAGGAGCCACTCATTGAACAAGGAGACGAAGAGCATTTGCCCTACACAGAGGAACCATATGGTGCAGAGGCCCCAATGTGGGGGCAAGCTAGGAGTGTCTCCATAACAGAACGAAGGCTGGTGTAGTGAACTAGAGTAGAAAAAGGAGATTGTGAATAAAAAAACGTAGGTGGGCTGGATCGTGCAGGGTTTGTAAGCCAGCAGGATTTGTAAGCCAGGGTTATAATGGGAAGCCATTGGAGGGTTTCAGGCAGTGGTGTGAACATGACCTGATTTACATTTCTAAAATAGCAGTCTAGATGTTGCAGAATAATGAGCAAAAATGAAAACAAGGAGCTGAGAAGAGATGCTCTTGCAGTATTCCAGGCAAGAGATTATGCTGGCTCGAACTAAGGAGGTAATCATAGTGATGAAGAGAAGTGAACAGATGCAGGATAGTTTTTGGAAGAGGAATTAGTAGAACTGGAAGATGGATTTCCTGTGAAGGTTGAGGAGAGCAACGAGGTAGATAAACATGCCATTTACCAAGATGGAGGAAGACTGAGGGAGGATCTTTGGGGGATAGAAATAAAGATTCCTTTTTTATCCATTTTAAATTGGAGACGGCTTTTAGATGTCCTTCTATTAATGTCAAGTGGGCATTGGATAAATAGTTCTGGAGTTCGAGGAGAGATCACAAGTAGAAATCTGGATTGGGGAATCATTAGCATAAAGACTATATTTAAGGTCAAGGGTCTGGATGAGATCCCCTCAGAGAGCCTATAGCTAGAAGAGATAATGAGGTCAAGGACAGAGCCCTTGTGTGCTCCACATTCTGAATTTGCTTAGAAGCTGGAGAAAAAAGTAGACTGCACATGAGACCAGAGGTGGAAGAAACACAGGATACATGGTCACCATTGTCTTATTAGATAGAAGGGCACAGTGGGCTTTCACCACGAGGACTAAGGGAGTAGAGTTACTCCATTGGAGGGCACGTTGGCCACTACAGAATTCACCTGGAGGACTCAGACACAGGATAAGTCCCTGAATTTAACAATTATAAGAAGTCTTTTGAGAAAGCAGTTCAATCATATGCTGAATTTTGAAGCCAGATTTTAGGGAGCTTTGGGAATAAGCACCGTGTGAGAAAGTAGAAGCAAAAGATATAAGCGAGGGTCTCCCACAGTTTGGGGCTGACACATGGCAGTGAGGGCGATCCCCACTTAAGGAGAGATGGGTTGAGAAAGGATTAGACTAAAACATGCTTGTAGAGGTAAAGAAAGGAGATTGGGAGAATCTCGATATAAATAAAACTGGGGACGACAGATAAACGTAGATTGCTGAGAAGCTGGGAGGGGTGACTGGAGCAAGGCTGGAAAGCAGAACACAACTTAAAAGGTGGGAAAATGCCTTTTGCAAAGATCATTCATAATGCTATAGTTTAGCCTATGTTTGGCTAAAATAAAGATTGTTTTCACACATTTTACTGCTCTTAAGTTAATAACGTGAATACAACGCAAAACATTTATCACACACCAGATTTTACTAGCTTACAATGTAAGTGGTGGAAGATCTGGGAACAGATTTCAGAATAATTTCATGCCTAGATTCTTCCTCTACCTGTTTCCTCATTTAGGGGGCCCTTCTCGGTTTAATTGTCTCCAGCTGATGATCAATTAAGCAAACTGATTGCAGTTGCATTTGATGGCAGAGCAGCATTGTGAAAAAAACATCATGTTGGAATCTAAGCTATGAAGGGAAAGGTACTAGACAACCCACAGTGTGTCATTGTCACGAGCAAAGGAGGAGTCATTTCCTCTCTACTCCCACACATGTGGTTAAATAATTTGTATTTGAGCATAACTGTTTTTCTGTGACAACTGGAATAGACACCGTCATTGTTAAGAATAATCAAGTCAAGGAAAAATGTAGAGCACCACATGTAGATGATTCTTGGAATGATTTTAGTAGGAAATAGAGGATTTTTAAAACTTTTTTAAAAAATTTCTCATTTTAGATACATTTTAGGGCAAACATTTCAGGTATAGAAAATAAATGCTTCAAAGCACTCTCGGCATTAGAGTCATTATTGATGAAGTCATTATGTGAATTATGAATTTATTCTTGCGAAATGATAGTTTCCTGGGAATCTTACCTCCAAGTTAGGAAAGGCCAAAGTTAAGCGTTGCCTTGCTAGTTTAAGCCAGTTGTTTAGGAATTCTATACAATATCTAGAAACAAAAAGCTAAACATTTTAAGGTATTAAGGCGAGAGTGTTCGGCTCTCAATCCACTCAGCTTCCCTCTTGGAAGATCAGCTCTATTCGCCTTTCAAGTGTCATTTGTGGGGAGATGTGTTGTGCAAAGGAGACTCCTGGGACCAATGGACCCAGTTTTCCTTAGGAAGTGATGCTCACCTACTTTAAAACAGCACTGAATGGAAAATCAATCTTGAAGGCTGAGAGTGAAGCTGAGAGCTTAAACTTGACTCTAGGTATTTGAGGGTGTTCATAGAAAGGGGCCAGCTAATAGCAGAGAGGCATATTTTTGTAAACTGAAGTAGGATGGACCCTCTGGGATCATGAATTACAAAAAAAGTTCCCCCTCTCCTGCCACACTGAAGGGTACAGAACCCAGCTAGCAGAAACTGGGCTGGATTTCACCCCCTCCTCACCTTTGCACAGTACATGAACAGCACAGCCATAGGCAACCGCCCTGGGGCTGACTCTGAGCTCCTCTGGGTAAAGAAGAATGCTGCCTCCTCAGAATCAAACACACAGTATTTGATTACTTTATCAATTTTATGGAACTTGGCATCCTCCAGACACATATTCATAATCAGATTAATATTTTTACCCGAGAGGGCCTCCTTGTCTCCTTCTGGAGACACTCAATGGCCTTAAGGTCTAAAGCCGTAAGGATAAAAGGAGTGGTCATGGATTAATTCATTCATTTAAAAAATAATGATTGAGTGCCTGCTTTTTGCCAGTCACAGCTGTAGAAGTTGGAGAAACAACAGCAACAATGAAAGCAAATCCTTATCCTCTTGGAGTAGATATTCCAGTGTTGGGAGACAGAAAGTAAATAAAATAAAATAAAATAAAATAAAATAAATAAAAGTCATACAGGTAGTATTTCAGAGAGTGATGAATGCACCAGAGGGGAACAGAGCAGTGAACAGCCTAAGAGTGTGGGGGCACAGCAGTGAGGCCAGTGCTGCAGGTGCCGTATAAGCATGAAGGAGAGAGCAGAAGGTGGAATTACAGAGGAAGCAGGTCTTTTAGGCACCTGCAGGAATGGTTTTCCTTTGGGCCAGCTGGGAAGCTCCTGAGGGTATATTGCACAAGGGAAGGACTTGACTAGGTTGACGTCATATTCTTGCTCTTGAGCTGAGTCCACCATACTTGGGAAATGGCAGGATGAACAATGATGGTACTTGAGCTGCATGTTTGTGTGTCCCCAAAATTCATACTAATCCCCCATGGGATGGTATTAGAAGGTGGAGCTTTTGAGATGTAATTAGGTTTAGATGTGGTCATGAGGATGGAGCCCCCAGGATGGCACTGGTGTCCTTAAAAGAGACTAGAGTGCAATCTCTTGGTCACGTGAGGATACAAAGAGAAGATAGCTGCCTACAAGCCAGGGAAAGGTCCTCAGCAGACAGAAGATCTGCCATCACCTTGATCTCAGACTTCCCAGCCTCTAGAACCACAATAAACAAACATTTGTTATTCAAGCCACCTACTTTATGGTATTCTATTCTAGCAGCCTGAACTGACTAAGACACTATGGCTTGGAAACTGATTGTCGGCTTTTTTTGGAATCTGAAAATTGGATTGCATGGCTTTCTGGCATACATTTTTGGTCTTAAGGAAGTCCTGCCTCCATGAGACTGATGATCTTATGGGACTCATTATACATATTTTCACATTTGTAGTGTATATATAATCTAGATGAGTTTTCAGATGCCACATATCTGTGAGCAGAAAAATGGTAATCTTGTCATTGCACAGTGCAGAGATGGTGACAGCAGGTTCTGCATTTTTGTAAATGTCTGGAATTAGCCATCAAAGATGGCCAGAGACTGGTTGTACCCAGAAGCTAAAACAGAAAAAGGAGGGGGCTAGGTTGCCTTGTTTCTACTCTATCTGTATTAACTTCCAAAGAGTAAAAGAAATATGACCAGGCAATGTGAAGAAAACCCTTTTAGATCCCTTCTCAGTGTAAGACAGATTTTGGCTTTATCTCTACCCCTAAATGTGAATGAGTGACTTGAAATGTTGATCACAAATTCTAGACAACGAGATGTAATTTCCTGACCCCTAAGTCTTTGCTTCCTGAATTTCTTTTTTTTTCTTTTTAATGTATTTTTATTCTTTTTTTATTATTATTATGCTTTAAGTTTTAGGGTACATGTGCACAACGTGCAGGTTTGTTACATATGTATACATGTGCCATGTTGCTGTGCTGCACCCATTAACTCGTCATTTACATTAGGTATATCTCCTAATGCTATCCCTCCCCACTCCCCCCACCCCACAACAGGCCCCGGTGTGTGATGTTCCCCTTCCTGTGTCCAAGTGTTCTCATTATTCAATCCCCACCTATGAGTGAGAACATGCGGTGTTTGGTTTTTTGTCCTTGCGATAGTTTACTGAGAATGATGGTTTCCAGCTTCATCCATGTCCCTACAAAGGACATGAAGTCATCCTTTTTTATGGCTGAATATAGGAACACTTTTACACTGTTGGTGGGACTGTAAACTAGTTCAATCATTATGGAAGTCAGTGTGGCGATTCCTCAGGGATCTAGAACTAGAAATGCCATTTGACCCAGCCATCCCAGTACTGAGTATATACCCAAAGGATTATAAATCATGCTGCTATAAAGACACATGCACACGTATGTTTATTGTGGCACTATTCACAATAGCAAAGACTTGGAACCAACCCAAATGTCCATCAGTGATAGACTGGATTAAGAAAATGTGGCACATATACACCATGGAATACTATGCTTCCTGAATTTCAAGCAGAAATCAGACCATTCATTTTCAGCAGCCTTAATGTGATGCACACTAAAGCTGGCTCCTGTGTTTAGGGATTACAGTGGGTTGGATTCCTTCACAAAAGTAGCCATTAGTCAAGACTAAAATGAGTGAAATCTGGAAGGAGTTAATTACAAGTGATCATTTTGTGGGGTTGTGATTCATATAACACAATTTCATTTGACACTAGGAGAAAGAACTCTGAAAGAGTGGTTGGAAGATTTAATAGCAATATTTTACACAGTCTGTTGGGTTTGTAGTATGTAAGTTTCCAAGAAGCTACACAAAATCCTATTGGTTTGTGTCATATACCTTTATTTAACTTTAGAAGGAATCATAATCCATGCTAACTAAATCTAAAAAAAAAAAAAAGTACCACTTGTGGAATGCCCAGGCACATTTCAACTACATGAGTTTTAATTGTCAGAGGATTATATATCCAAGAGAATTGATCTCCATATACAGCTGACAGTGCCATGGCTATTAATGATGGAATGACATCTTTGGAAAGCCCTGACTTCATCTCTTCCAGGGATGCTTTATCTTATATTTCCATATCAATTTCTGTGGTTAGCACCTTTATGCTAACTTGAAAACAAATCACATGTAAAATAAAATTAGAATGACTAATACTGATTTAAAATAAAGCAACCCTGTTTTTCAGTTTCAACAGGCCTTACATCTACAAATCTGCCACCAAATTTTAAAATTATGTACATTCTCAGGGAAAACTAAGGACTGGCAGTGAATTGGAACAAGACTGAGATGATGTCTTTTGTGTACTGTAACACTTCAAAATCATTGCTTCCAGAAAAAAAATCACAGAGGCTTTTAATATTCATAAAGATAGAAACAGGTGTTTGAACAGAACTTGAGCCACCTTTGACAGGAGCACAATCAGTTTGTCTGAAAGGGTCTTCATTTTCCCTGTCACTCACTGGCAGGACTGGGAACATCAAAACAGTTATACTCCTGAGCTTTCACTACCTGTTTCAAAGGATTATACTTGACATTTCTAATTTTTCCCCAATCATTAAACTCTGTCCTCCCCCTTTTAAAACTGCATGATTTTGTTAGAAAATCAAAGCAGGCAGAAGAATACATTAGTGCTCAATCCTCATGGACTCTGTGCTGACCTCATTGCTTTTTATGTCTACCAGTAGACCACACAAACTATTTTTGGTTCATCATTTATCCTGTGCAGACAGATAGCTGCTAGTCTACCTCAGAACACTATTTAGCCAGATGAGGGTAAGTAACAAACTGCATTTTAGATGTAAATGCTGTGCCATGTAGGCTGGACAGGATGCTTTCTCTTTCTTTGCCTCAGTTTCCTTCTCACTTTGCAGAGAGGTAAAGCTGCCCCTATAAATGGATGCGACTTCCATGACTGAACCTTATGATTATTTTCTAAAAAGTAAAAGCACTTATTATTTTGTCCTCTCAAAAAAGGAAAGACAAGATAAATGTTTAAGGAACTACTTAGGTAATTGTAGGTAACTTTACATGTTACTATTTTATTCCTTATTTCCTCTCCTTGCATATTTGGGCAAGTTAGAGATCTATTGTGTGCCAGGGGGCAAAGAGGAAGAATACAAATGATTTATCTGTGCTGTGCCAAGTCAGAGTATCTAAAAACCGCATTTGATCATTTTGGGGCCAGCACGTAACTCCGCAAAGCTTAATTATGTCCGCATTATTTTGATAAGAAGTGGCTTTAGGAAAACAATAGGAAGACATTGTCACTGGTTGGCTCCTGTGTGACCTCTGTCAAGGATCATACATGTCTAGCCTCAGTTTCACCACCTGTGAAGTTAAGGATTTGGGCACTATCTCAAGGTTTCCATCTCGAACTAAATGTCTATTACACAATAGATCTATAACTTGACCAAATATGCAAGGAGAGGAAATAAGGAATAAAATACTAACATGTAAAATTACCTGTGATGTCTAAGAAATTCCTTAAACATTTATTTTGTCTTTCTTTTTTTGGAAGGACAAAATAATAAGTGGTTTTACTTTTTAAAAAAATAGTCATAAGGTTAAATCATGGAAGTCACATCCATTTATATGAGAGATGAGAATAAAAGATGAAGCTTTAGGACACTGAAGTCATTGACAGTTTTAAGTGAAGGCAGAGTAGCCATGTGATTTTTTTTAAATATGAAATTTTACCCTTTTGCTGAAAAGAGGCAGAATGTGAGAGGGGGATGTAGGGAATGTGGGAAATACAGTTAGTCATGGAATTATTAGGATCATATTTGTAGGAGTCTTGCAAGTCATATTTTTATTTATTTATTTTTAAATCTTATTTTGTATATTTAAAATATACAGCATGATGTTACAAGATACATGTAGTAAAATGGTTACTATATAGTGGAACAAATAAACACAGCTACCATCTCACATCTTCACTTATTCCCTGCCTACCCCATGGTGTGTGCAGACATAGTCTCCTCATTTAGCAAAAATTCTGAATATACTGTGATTTACTGTGGTCTTCATATTGTACATTAGACCTTTTGACTTGTTCATCCTACATATTTGCTACTTTGTATCCTTTGACCTGTATCTCCCCACTTCCTCTTCCCAGCCCAATCCTGGTAACTACTGTTTTATTCTCTATCTCTATATATTTGGCATTCATTTATTTATTTTTTAGATGGTACATATAAATGAGATCATGCAGCCTGGTGTGGTGGCTCATGCTTGTAATCTCAGTGCTTTGGGAGGTTGAGGCGGGAGAATTTCATGAGGTGAGGAGTTTGAGACCAAACTGGGTAACATAGCAAGACTCCACTCTATATAAAATAAAAAAAAAAATTTAAAAGCTAGCCAGGTAAGGTGGCACATTCCTATAGTCCCAGCTACTTGGGAAGCTAAGGCAGGAGGATTGCCAGAGCCCAGGAGTTAGAGGTGGCAGTGAATTGTGATCATGCTACTGCACTCCAGCCTGGGCAAGAGAGTAAGACCCTCCCTGTCTCTAAAAAATAAAAAAATAAAAAGTGAGATCATGCAATAATTTTCTTTCTATATCTGGCTTATTTTGCTTAATATAATGTCCTCTAGGTCAATCCGTGTTGTGGCAAATGGCAAGATCTCCTTTTTTAAGGCTGAATAATATTTGTGTGTATGTGTGTGTGTGTGTCTGTGTGTGTGTGACAGTTTCTTTATCCATTCATCCACTGATGGACACCTAGTGTGTTTCCATATCTTGGCTATTCTAAATAATGCTGTAGTGAACATGGGATTGCAGATACCTTTGTGAGGTGATTATTTTATTTATACACAGAAGAGGAATTGCTACAACATATGATAATTCTATTTTAATTTTCTTTAGGAACCTCCATATTGTTTCCTATAATGGCTGCACCAATCTACTTTCCCACTAACAGTGGGCAAGGGTTTCCTTTTCTCCGCACCCTTGACAACACTTGGGTCTTGTCTTTTTTATAGTAGACATTCTAACGGATATGAGGTGGTATCTCATAGCAGTTTTTGTTTTCATTTTCCTGATGATTAGGGATCTTGTGTATCTTTTTATGTGCCTGATGGCCATTTTTATGTCAAATCTATAGAAATGTGTATTCAAGTCCTTTGCATATTTTTCCATGGAGTTTATATTTTCTTGTTACTGAATTGTATTGGCTCTTTATAAATCTTGGATATTAAGCCCTTATCTGATATATGGTTTGTAAATATTTTTTCTCAACCTGTAGGTTGTCTTTTCATTTTGATTGTTTTCTTTACAGTGTATAAGGTTTTTAGTTTGATGCAGTCCCACATATTTATTTTTGCTTTTGTAGCCTAAGATTTTGGTGTGACATTCAAGACATCATTGCCAAAGCCAGTGTCAAGGAGCTTTTTCCCTATGTTTTGTCCTAGGAGTTCCATTGTTTCAGATCTTACATTTCAGACTTTTATTAATTCCAAGTTGATTTTTATGCATGGCATAAGATAAGGGTCCAATTTCCTTCTTTGGTATGTATAAATCCAGTTTTCCCAGTATCATTTATCAAGGAGACTCTACTTTCTCCATTGTGTCTTCTTGGTGCCCTTGTTGAAAAGTAGTTGATTATATATGTTTAAATTTATTTCTGGTGTCTCTATTCTGTTCCACTGGTCTATGTGTCTGTTTTCATGTCAGTGCCATACTGTTTTCATTACTATAGCTTTGTAATATAATTTAAAATCAGGAGGAAGTGTGATGCCTCCAACTTTGGGTTTTTTTTCTCTTTCACAGAATCGTTGTGGCTATTTAGGGTCTTTTGTGGTTCTATATGAATTTTAGGATTGTTTTTTCTATTTCTTTGAAGAGTGTCATTGGGATTTTGATAGAGATTATATTGCTTTAAGCAGTATGGACATTTTAACAATATTAATTGTTCCAATCCATGAGCATCGAATATCTTTTCATTTATTTGTGTCCTCTTCAATTTCTTTCATCAATGTTTTATGGGGTTTAATGTACAGGTCTTTTACCTCCTTGGTTAAACTTATTCCTAAGGTATTTTTATGCTGCCATAAATGGGATTTTTTAAAAAATTTACTTTCCAGATAGGTCATTGTTTGTGTATTAAAATGTCATAGATTTTCATTTTTATTTTAAATCTTACAACTTGACTGAATTAATTTATTAGATGTAATAGTTGTTTGGTGGAGTCTTTAGGTTTTTCTACATATAGGATCACATTATCTGCAGATACAAATAATTTTACTTATTCCTTCCTGATTTAGATACCTTTCATTTCTTTTCTCTTGCCTCTTTGCTCTTCATAGTACTTCTGGGACTATGTTGAATGGAATTGGCTAAAGCGGGCATCCTGGCCTTGTACCTGCTCTTAGAGGAAAGGCTTTCAGTTTCTCCCTCTTGATTATGATGTTAGCCGTAGATTTTGCATAAATGGGTCTTTATAATGTCAAGGAACTTTTCTTCTATACCTAAACTGTCAAGAATTATTATCAAAAAAGTATGTTGAACTTTGTTACATATTTTTTCTGTGTCCATTGATATGATCAAGTGGTTTTTGTCATTCAGTCTGTTAATGCAATGTATAACATTAATTGATTTGCATATGTTAAGCCAGCCTTGCATGTTTGGGGGTAAATCCTACTTAATCATGATGTATAATCATTTTGATGTGCTGTTGAATTCAATTTCCTAATACTGTAATGAGAATTTTTGTATCAGTGCTCATCAGAGATATTGGCCTGTTGTTTTCTTTTCTTTTTTTCTTTTCTTCTTTTTTTAAAGAGATGGGGGTCTCGCTGTTTTGCCCAGGGTAGAGTGCAGTGGCTGTTCACAGGTACAAACACAGTGCATTGCAGCCTTAAACTTCTGGGCTCAAGCAGTCCTCCCACCTCAGCCTCCCAAGTAGCTGAGGCTACAGGTACATGCCACTGTGCCCAGCTTTGTAATTTTCTTTTCTTATGGTGTCTTTGTCTGAGTTAGGTATCAAGGTGATGCTGGCCTCAAAAAATGTGCTAGGAAACATTCCCTCCAGCTCTATTTCTGAAAACATGTGGGAAGTACATTCGTCATGGAATTATTAGGATCATAGTTGTAGAAGCCTTAAGAGTCATGTCTTTACAAGCCATTGGTAATGAAATTTGCATTTTCCCTCAAAAAATTTTCAGTCAGCTCCCAATTCAATTTGCCTGTGACACTGATTTCTCTGTCCTCACCTCCTGTTCTGACAGCAACATCTACGTTTGGATGAATGCTTCCAAATTTGGTTAAATTGTTTGCAGAGATTTTTAAAGTACTTAAGAAATTTACTTTGACTTGACATTTGAATTAGAGATGAGATAAAAATTTAAAGTAACCAACATCATAGAACCTTATGTCCCTATTTCACTAGCCTTCTTTTTCCCTGTATAATATGGCCAATGAATAAAAACCTCAAATCTTATCATTCTTATTATGCATTTAAAATTTCCCATAAATATCACCCAAGAACCTGAATGCCAAAAATAAGTATGCAATGCCTTCTCAAATAATACACATGTGACCTTCATATAGGACCCTCTAGTCACCAAAAAAATTTCCATACAACTGCTGATATCCCCATGACCATTTCAGGCTGAGAGAGAGAGAGAGAGAGAGAGGTTTATAAATTATTTTGACTCAAAACCCCCAAAGTAGAAACATGCTCACACACATCGCCAGCCTGTTACTTAGAAACTAGCACCTCAGGACATAGGGATATTGAAGTACTATTGAATCCACTTTCCTCAGCTACCACCTGTGAATTATGGCTGGCAGCAGGAGTTTTATGATACTATTGTAAAAGTAATATACCTCTTAAATGGCAATTTACTAAGTTGCTGATGAAATGCATTGCAAATATGTTAGTTTCAGGGTGGTTAGGAAAATTAACCGCTGCATATTTTCCATATTGTCATATATGCCAACATGCTCAGAGAATCAGGAGCAGCTTTCTGGGAAAGCTGTTTAAATGTAACATATGGCCAGTTAGTCACTTGGTTAGAACATGAGGTTGATAAGGCCAAAGCTTTAGGGAAATCACCTGAGGCTGTTCTTTTAAAAGTAGTCTCAGCAACTGTATCCCAAAACCCTATAAAATGTTCCCTTAACCTCACACTTTTCATTGTGCTTCCTATCTAATTTTCTATCCTATCGATTTGATCCCATACCCTGCTCCTCAGCATAGGCTGATAACAATAGAGTGTAATCACACATCATTAGACCTCAGATTACATTTTGAAGTGATCCCCAATAAATCTTGAGCCACAAAACAATCATACAAAAGAGAGACTCAAAGGGATAGGTGAGTGAATATAAATTTGGAAACTGGTGTTTCATTAAGTTTGTAGAGGCTTATCCTGGACAAAGATCTGTGCTTATTTGTATGACCCCCTAAGATATCTTTTATATTAACAGACACTTGCATAGATTTTCACAGTTTAAAAAGCTGTTTAGATTAATCATTTCATCTAACCATCACAAAACCCCTCTGAAAAGAGGAGAATGTTATTATCCAAATTTTATGGAGGAAAAAACAAAAGCTAATGATCCAGCTTGTGAGTAATGGAATTAGAATTTGACTCCTCATACCAACCCCATCATGGAAACCAGGCTTTGACCACAATACAGGTCCCCTGGAGTGAATGAACAGACTAAAACAAACAGGAGTAGTGAAAGTGACCTGCAGAACACTTAAAACAGAACAGCGTTTGACAAGCTTGATGGCCCAATGATTTGAATCTCTTCTCTAAACAATGTTAGAGCACAGATAGGAGGTAAGTTGCAATTTGCACCTCAAGGATGCTGAGGCTGCATCCCAAGTTAGTAGAAAAGAGTGCAGTGATAAATTCGAGATGTCTGCCATGCGGACAGGAAATGTCTAGTGGCAACACATATTTGCTCTTCCTATATTAAAGAATCTGTCATTTTATAAAACATACTTGGGTTTTATGATGAGAAGCAACATAGATCAATAAGTCGACAAGCCTTTGTTAAGCATTAATAAATGCCAAGCACTATATTAAGCACTGTGGATGAACACCATGGAGATTAAGAGAAAGTCTTTGCGTATATAATTTACAATTCAATCTGGGAAATAAATTGAATGTGCAGCAAACACTTTAATTTTAATCTTTTGATACTGATTGTAAACACAAGGCAGATTCATAAAGGGACAAATCACACCAGGAGTCCATCTCTGTGAAATGTAACATCTTTTGAAGGGAATATCAAGAGATCAAATACAGTTGTGGAAAAGGCCTTAATAGAAGGTCTGTGTAGTTTGAGTGCTGTGTTTTCTTACATTTATTTCACACCATGTGGAAATATTTTATCAATGGTCAATTACAGCCAAAGAGCGGTTAAATATTTTGAATCACTACTGTATTTGCTTATCTGAAATTATGCTCACATGCATGTCTTTAGCAATTATCTTAACTCTATAATTGTGATTTTAGTTATAATTAGAATGGACAAGAAGTAAATAATGAAAGCTCCCCAAATATCCTTTTCTCCCAATAGAAGTAGAAAAAGTAAAACTGCAAACAAAACTACCAGTTTCCTGAAGGAGACTTGATTACAACTCCCCTGTGAGAAAAACAATGGAAAGGTTGGGTTTTCTTTCAAAATAATCTGGGAATGGGGAAGTTGGATATGGAGAGGTGGCAGTGGGGTTGTAGATAAAACAAGATTGGCCGTGAGTGGGTAATTGATTAAGCTGGGTGAAGGTACATGACAATTCATTATACTGCTGGCTTGACTTTTGTATATATTTGAAATTTGTCATAAAATTGTTCTTAAATTCCTCTTAAAGGTGCAAGAGTAATTTAAAGTTTCAGACATAGAAGGGATTTTCGACATTGATGCAGAAGGAAAAGGAGAAAATATTTAAAACCATGTTAAGTAAATAGGGGAGATGGAATTGCCTGACCAAGAAGTATAGAACTTGTTCAAATTAATAGCAAAGACATGGAACCAACCCAAATGCCCATCAATGATACACTGGATAAAGAAATGTGGTACATATACACCATAGAATACTATGCAGCCATAAAAAGGAATGAGGTCATGTCCTTTGCAGCAACATGGATGAAACCAAAAGCCATCATCCTCAGCAAACTAACACAGGAACAGAAAACCAAACACCATGTTCTCATTCATAAGTGGGAGTTGAACAATTAGAGCACATGGATATAAGGAGGGAAACACACACCAGGGCCAGGCAGGGGGTGGGGGGCAAAGCGGGGGAGAGCATTAGGACAAATACTTAATGTATGCAAGGCTTAAAACCTAGATGACGGGTTGATAGGTGTAGAAAACGACCATGGCACACATATACCTATGTAACAAACCTGCACGTTCTGCACTTGTATCCCAGAACTTAAAGGAAAAAAAAAAAAACACGGACTGGTTAGTTTGCCAGCAGAATTGAGAAAGACTATACAAAGCCCCCAAATCCCAGAACTTGTGGGTTTGAAAAGTGAAATTGTTTTTCACCTTATTATTTTATCAGTCTCAGGACAAAGATTAATTAAGGGTGCCGTTGTCACGTCCTTTGTTACAACTTGTGAAAATAACTGAAGTGGTGCCTTGCTGTTCTTTTCAGCTGAATAAAGTGTTCCTAGAAAGCTAAAAGGCAAAAAAAAAAACAAAAACAAAACAAACTGTTGCAAAATTTGGATGAAGGGAAAAATCAGAGCTAAGGGATGCTATCTTTTTTTTTCACCACCAATTGTCTCATGGATGTACGTTTATCATTGATTTGGTGTAACAGGCTCTTTTGGATGCTATAATTTCTCATCTGTCTCCTGCTGCAAAATCCATCGACTATGCCTGTAGCTAGGTCTACATCACAGCTGTGAAACATTAATCTCAAGGACACATTCTTCATCCCTGGCCTGGCTGATGCATGCTGTCTAGTTAGTTCCCCAGTAGGCTCTGGCTTCTTTCCCGATGTTCTCCTGGCACCGCTAACAACTGTGGAACTCCTGTCATTCTAGAGATGAGACTGCTGTAATGCTCCTTGGGTGGCCTTCAATGTCCCATACTTATTTCCTCTCACTTCCCTGATCCTAAGAGGGATTTGTCACCCAGGTGTCTGGAATCAAGGCTCTTCTGTGACTTTGTTATATAAAACCTTGATTTAGAAGCAGAACTGTTCATCATACTGCTTTTGTGAATGTGTCCTTTATGAGTTCTTTGCAAAGCCCTCCATACTGGCTGCTAAACAGTTTATTAATTATGATATTGAGTAATAAGATTGTTCGACGACCAGGTCATGCATAAAAGCCCAACTTCTTGGCTCTGGTGATGTCTGTTTTTGTTAGGCTGGCTCTCATATTTATTTTGTCATGATTACGCAATAAAAGGGGATTTTTATTATGTGCCCCCATGCTGGTTAAGCCTTCACTAAAGCTAAACTAATAGGAAGCTGTGTATGTCGGATAATGGCGATTTCAATGCTGAAATTGATGGCGAAATAAGACACAAGTTGTAGAGTACTGCTTTTTGCTGCTCTCCCCTGTACCCACCACCACCAACAACAACAAAAGTTGTCTCTTAGTGTGTGTTATCTTTAGTATTAATCATGAGGATAGCTTATATGTTTATAAATTGAATGATGGAATTTCAAGAAATTTTAAAAATGCAGACTTTCTTTTGTCCCAGAACAACCACAGGGCTGTAAGTCCAAAAGCCATAAATGATAGGGCAAGTGTAAATGGACTGTGATGAGAGGAAAAATGCAACTAAAATGGATAGAAATGGGACTCAAGGATATGATAGGCTCTCTAGAAACCCCAAGCCTGCTGTTTCCAGTGAAAGATAATTAGAGTTTTCTGGGGGAGGGGGATGGCTGATAAAGGGACATCCAGAATAAAAAAGAAAAAAAAAAAAAAGCAGTTTTCTGAAGGAAAAGCTTCAGTAAAGTTTAGACTGGTGTCAGGAATGATAAGAGGCCAAGAAGCTCAAGGGAATTCAGCGATTCTTTCTGCAAATGCTGGAAAAACTCCCTCCTGTGAATCTCCAGAGGTATGTAGAGAGTATATGTAAGAAATAATGCATTATATCTGCACACAGTGTATGTTCAACATATAATCTCTTCCACACTTACAGAAAATTACTTTCCGATGCTCACTAAATGAGAAGGGTTACAAGAGATAAGAGGGTGGTCTGCGTTCCCAAGGCAGCTGCTGGGAAAAGAAGGGTGTTATTTAAAATGATTGTAAGTGACTATCTTCCTAGATTGTACATTGTGCCCCCTTCTCCAGTTGATTCTCTATAACCTAGATAGTCAAAGGCAATACTGACATTGAGAACTGCCCTGTAATAATACTGCGTTTATCTCAACGGTTCTTCTTTTTTTTATTTAATAAGAGAGGAGTTTCATGAATAAAAACAAAGCTATCATGATGTCAAAATAATATTCTTTGCACCCATGAGTTGAGAAAATAACAGACTAAAGAGGCCTTTTTGCTTTTTAAGATGTGGGAGTCTTTGTGAGCTTCCCTGTTCCCAAGATGAATCTGTAATCTTGGTACAAACTGCTGAGTGGGTGTGTTTTCGATCATAGAAAACTTTTCTTATGTATCTGGAGAGTCATGGTAGTCTTACTACATCTGGTTAGTCATATTCCCCCTCCAATCTTCGTACAAAAGAAACCCAAGACTAGATCAGGGCTTGTGATGATGGCAAAATGATATCTTACTCTTTAAGTGCTGCATTTGATCAACATGTGTCATTAATCTCTCCTTCCTGTTTGTGACAGTAAATGACGGAACACTTTATCAATTCTTCTTTCAATTAGATTGATGTATGTACATTCCTTGAATTTTAAAGGTCATTAATTTGCACATTAGTCTCTTAGGTTGGTAGCACACAGATTGATGTATTGATGATTTAGTCTTTCATTGATCCTATATCATCTTTAGCACCATGAGCCATGAGTGCTGTTTCCTTCCCAACCATGACACAATGAGTGAAAATGCATTAATGTTTACAAAGAAATAAAGAACCTGGCTCTTGACCCTTGTAGAGCATTTTAATGGCCCTGGATTAAAATGATTATAAAATGTATCGAGTCATATTCTTAAAGTGCCTTTGGCATGTACTGGCCTTTCTTCCTGAGCTGTAGGTAATAGCTATAGCATCCAACAAAAAATTGCCAAAAAGCCTATGACCTTCCATTTGCAGTGATACTTCCAAGTAAGTAAGGACTTTATGAAGTTATTTTCAAAGTACTTCATTGAAGAAATGTTTCCCTAGTCATCTGGATTGAGATTTTGTTTGCCTCTACCTTTGATATATCATACCCTGTTGAATTATTCAGTGTGGGTCAAAGTAACATTAAGCTTCTTACAAATGCAATATTCCAAACATATCCCAGCATTTTACTTTATCACCATCCATAGAATAAACCACACGCACCTTATCTGTGCTACAAACATACTTAATATAATGATAATAATAAAAATAATAAAAGTGTAATAACCTTAAGAAACAGTTGATTGATGTCATTGATCACTTTAGAATGATTGGGAGTAACGGAAACATAATGCTGAATTTAAAAACTGCTATACAAAGCCACTGAATGTTTTACTAAAGAAAAAAAAACATGTAATTTGAATCTTTCAAAAAAATCTCTTTTTTGGCCCAGAAAGTACAAAATTCTTAGCTCAAATTTTAAAATGAAATACAGTGTAGTCAAATATGTAATATATTAAATATGGGTTCCAAACTCTGCTCATCAGTGATTTTCAGAGTAACATTTTAACCTTCTGTAGTCTCCTCATCTGCAACATAAGCTTACCCTGAATCATCACAAAAGCTCCTTATGCTCTAAGTTTTTACATATAAATATTAGGAAATCATTTAGAACATCTGGAAAGCATTTGAAACAAAGAGATGTTATCAAAGGAGTCAACAGTAATTTTCATCAATGTTTAAGAAGCCCAAAAAATTCCTATTCCACTTGAAAATTTAGTGCTATGCAGAACAGGTAGTAAATGTTACCAGTTCAAGTCAGAAATTATTTTATTAGCAGTTGTTAGAATCCCAGCCATGTCCAAGCTGGAAAATAGGGAAGCAATTGATCCTTTTAGTGCAAAACTAAGACTGGCTAGGCGTTTACAACGCAGTGGAGGAAAGGACTTATAATCAAAGAACCTTATAATAATCAAAGCTCATGTCTGTGATCAAACCAAATCATGCAGATTTCTCTCCTTAAAAAGAATAAAAAGACAACTTTTGGTTCATTAAAAATACCGACCTCTTTTATAGACCCTTCAGCTTATAATGCATCTTAAATCCCATTTTGGAAATGACATACAGTATACAATCAAGTTCAAAATTTTACCACTATAGAAACAGGGAGGAAAAGGTCACAGAGAAGAGAAGCCATGTGTGGAAGGACTTGAGGGATGGTTTGACAACCTGAACTTCTTGAAATACTTGGTTTCAGCATCCCTCTCTCTTTTCCTTCCTCTCTCTAAATTGTCCCTCCTCTTTTTCTATCTAAGGGACATGATCCTTAGCCTCCTGCTCTTTTCCTTATAGAGTCACCTGCTCTGGGGCCTCATCAATCCTCATAACTTCAGCTCCAGCCAGGACAGCAGTGGAGCAGAAAGGTCAGGAGTATCAGGACAGAAGCCTCATCAGCCAGGAGGGCTCTACAGCCTCGGAAGAACTTATCAGGAAAAGGATTGAGACCTGGGCATCAGTTTGTATTGAAAATAAGAAATAAATGCCCTGGATCATAGAGGGAATCAACTTGTGAGGCCATTTGGTCAAAGAAGGGGAGGAAGGTGTGTTTGACCCTAGAGCCTTGCTACTCAAAGTGTGATCCCTGGACTGGCAGCACCCACATTGCTTGAGAATCTACAGGAAATGCAGAATCACAGGTCCCATCGCAGATCACCTGAATCAAAACTTGCAACTGACTGATATATGCATATAAAAGGTTAAGAAGCGCTGGACAAAATCAAAGTGGAAAAAAAAACAGTCAGTAAAGATAGAGACGTGTAGACTTCACATCTATTGGATCATGCCTGAAATAATTATCACACTGGATTTTGGATCTCAGACATAAAACTTGATGTTTTCTTCCAAATCTGACAGTAGCCAAGAAGGAGCAAATATTGTGGAGTGTGGGCCATGTCAGGGAATATTTAGTTCCTGTAACAGGGCAGGGGAGTTCAAGTGGTAAAGAAGATTTGTGTCTCAGTGTAGTATGCACTAAATTCTGAAAAATGGGCTGGAGCAGAATGAGGGGACCCTTGAAAGACAACTAAAGAGTGTTCATGTTTTTCCTGGGTGCATAAGATGTATTAAAGAGAAATACAGTGAGAACAATGATTTAGAAAGAAGCATCTTGCTACAAGATGCCAGGAACAGACCAAGAGCAAGGAGACTGGGCAGAGCACTGTACTTTTGTCAGTGTCATCTCAATGTATGGCATGGCCCATCTGCTACTGTCCTCCCATCTCCATCATCATCATCCTCTGAGGTCCAGCTCAGGCACTACATTCTCCAGGACATCTTTCCTAGTGACATAAACTCATATCAGCCGCACTGCAAAGTCTTGTAGTTCTTAGATTCTATTCTACAGGATTTAACCTCAAGGGTCTTAAAATAGAGACTTGTGGATTGGAAAGGGACCTGGCAGGGCTGTGCAATCCTAATTCCCATCTCCTCCCCAAATCCTTCCAGAGACAGAGATCTTGATGACTCACCAAGCAACCCATTATAGGTGGAGGGAGCTGTAATTATTAAGAAAGAAAGTTCTTTTTTAGACTGAACAAAATTTCTTTTTTCCTTTGTGTCAATCACATACTAAAAAGCACCAGGATAGCACAGCGATCTGCCTTTCATCTGTTTCTCTTTCATAGATTCTGTTGAGTCTGCAAGTTAAAAGTGTTTTAGGCTTTCTTTTCTGATCTGAAAGAACTCAAGCATTCTCCTCACTAGAAAAGCTCATTTAACAAGTGTTTCTTTTGACATATAGCTACTATGAGAGTTTAGGGAGACCCTAACTGATTTGTTCTCTTTTTAGTTTTTAGATTAGCTTATGATTTTACAGCTCCAGTATCACCCTGGCCTGCAGAGAGTTTAGGGCAGTAACAGCAGGGGCATCCTGAATGACAAAAAATCAACACATAACATGGGAGATCACACAAATGCAAAAGGCACTTTAGAAACAAAATTTTCCTAGGCCCAAAGCACACAGAACAGGGAGCTATGTCCTAATCAAAGTCATTTACATATATGAAGAACAGCAAATCTGTCAATCCAGAGCAGGAGTGGGTAGATCAGATCTTAGATGAAATGAGAGTCTCCTGGGTATCTGTTAATTTCACAGTGCTTGTCCATACTTTGTCCAGGGACAAGGCACTGCGGTCAAGAACTCGCCCTGGCCCTGGTCCACCTGTCAGCCCTCTCTTAGAAATAATTAGAATGTGAACCCCACAAGTATTTCTGTCAGACAACCAGCTCTCCCCCTAGTATTCCCTCATCACCAAACCACCCTGAGAAATAGACCAAAGCGAGCCTCTAGATCTGCAAATTGAGGAACACACAGACCCTTGAACACGGTGACTTGACCAGTGCAGGGTCCCCTGTGAGGCCAGCCAGCTGGTTTCTCATTTATTGAATGGCAGAAATAAGGCTAAATGTTGCAGATACATCATTTTATTGTAATACTGCAACCGCCCTGGCAAAAGAGACCATTAACCCCATTTCCCGTATTGAGAAACTAAGTCAAAAACAGGAAAAGATAGACTAACAAGAGACAGACAACAAAGAGTGGGTAGAGTGACTTGAACACACCAAATGCATATAACCACTACACTTCCTTCCTTAGCATTAAGTACAAATATTAAATAAGGAATAAACATTGCATGAGGCAGAGAATCCCAATATAGTTGGGTTATTGCAAAGAATATGAAAGTTAATACTTTTTAGAAGGGTAGAGATATGATAAAACTGTAAAATATTGAAAGACTTGAAATTTTACCCACCAAGATTAACATAGGCAATCATATACAAAGCCATAGCTGTTTCTAGAATTTTTGTTGACAGTTAAGTGTCATAGTTAGCAAATATTTGTTTTCTAGAACATGTCTTTACACCCAGCAAGTAATAATTGATGCAGGTGAGCCCCGCAGAGGATTGACTGCATTTTTCTGACCACGGAACAACTCCCCGGGGCCGACAAACATTTGGTTGGAATCAAATTGGCACTGATTTCTTGGGCATTATTAAACATGTGCTCTTTGGCCATAGCTATCATTTCACTTTCCAGGTGAAATAAATGTAAGTGAAGCATAAGAATTCAAAGTTGAATTACCATGTGCTACCTTAAATAATATATTTCACACCAAAAGAAGACTCTGGGTTTTGATCAATTAAAACATACACCAATAATTGCAAATTTAAATATGATGTTGCTTTTTCTATCCAGTATCTTCTGTTGCTCCCACAAAGGTTTTCAGCATACTCTTCTTGCCTCTTCGTTTACATTATATTTCTAACTTTGTTAGGATAGAGGTATCTTCACGCATTCAGCAAACATCTATGGCCTGACTGCCTTTTTCCAAACATGGCAAAGGCTTAGAGGCACAACACTGAACTATGTCCATTCACAGACACAGGCTGGTTTCGTTGCAATAATAATTTCGGTAGAGTAAACAAGATAATGGAGACAAAATGATATTAACATTGATTATTTCTGAGGCTCCACAATGTCATGGAAGACTCAGGCTCCTCTCATCTTTCTGTTCTGGTATCCTCAGGCTAGGTTACCATCATGCCTGCAAAATGATTGTTGCTTCTCAAGGCATCAAACAGAGATGTAACAAGGGTGGGGCAGGAAACCTTTCCTAGAAGCCCCTACCACACTGGAAACCTTTCCCAGAAGCCCCTCACAAACTGGAAACATTTCCCAGAAACCCCTTCCTCACTGGAAACCTTTCCCAGAAGCCCCTAGCACACTGGAAACCTTCTCAGAAGCCCCTAGCACACTGGAAACGGTTCCCAGAAATCCCTTTCTCACTGGAAACCTTTCCCAGAAGCCCCCTTCTCATTGGAAGCTTTCCCCAAAGCCCCTGCCACACTGGAAACCTTCCCAGAAGCCCCGAGCAAACATTACTTTATGTGTCATTGGCCAGACAGCTACAAGCCTGCCCCTAAACCAATAACCAACAAGGAGAATGAGATTTCCATGATAGGGTTAGACTAACCAGAATTTATCTGGGCTGAAGTGTATTTGGTTATTGGAACAAATTAGGGTTCCATTAACATGAAAGATGGGGGAAATGATTATTGAGTGGGCTGGTAGTCTCTAAGGTGATCCAGTTAGACAACTCTAGGCTGGGCTGCTTACATGCTAGCATTGGTTGGTTTAGCACTATCTTTTTTTAAAAGCTAGCTTTCATTGTACTTTTCAAAAATATTTTAACGATTTTTTGGGTGTATGATTCAGTGGCATTAAGAATACTCACTATGTTGTGTAAACCACCCCTATCCAATTCCAGAATTTTTCATTGTCCCAACAGAAACTCCGTGCCCATTAAAAATAATTCCCCATTTCCCTGTTCCCCTTCCTTTTGGTACCTGGCAATGGCCACTCTATTTCCTATCTCTATGAATCTGCCTATTCTAATTACCTCACATAACTGGAATCACATAGTATTTGTCCTTTTGTGTCCTGCTTATTTCACTTAGCAAAATGTTCTCAAGGTTCATTCATATTCTAGCATGTGTCATAATCTTATGATTTTTATGGTTGAATAATAATACTCTATTGTGTGTATACACACATGCACACACACACATACACACACACACGCACACGATATTTTGTTTATCATTAATCTACCAATAGACTTTGTGTTCTACTTTTTGGCTATTGTGAATGATGTTATGGTGTACATGGGTATATAGTATCTACTTAAGTCCCTTTTTTTAGTACTATCTTTAATCTCACTGAAACTTAGGGACAAACGGGATGTTCTTAACCTGTTGCAGATGTTTTATAAGTGATAAAGCATCTGTAAAGTACTGAATATAGAGCACATCACAGGTGCTTCAGAAGTGACACCTGCTGCCATGGTCTGGTCTTTATTGCTGTTTTGTTTGTTATTGTTAGAACACAGAGGCAGAGCTCAAAAAAGGGATTCCTAGCTCAGCCTGAGGATTCAGAAGTATGCAAGCTGTGCTTTGAAGATCAGTTAAGAGTAGTATGTATATCAGTTTGCTAGGGCTGCCATATCAAAGTACCACAGACTGGAGTGGCTTAAACAACAGAAATTTATTTTCTCACAGTTCTGGAGTCTGCAAGTCCAAGATCAAGGTGTCAGTAGGGTTAGTTTCTTCTGAAACCAACCTTGGATTATACTTGGCCATCTTCTCCCTGTGTCTTTCTGTGGTCTTCCTTCTCTGTGTGTCTGCATCCTAATCTCTTCTTCTTATAAGGACATCAGTTATAATGGATTAGGGCCCATCCATATGACCACATTTTACTTTAATCAGCCCTTTGAAGACTCTATCTCCTAATATAACCATATTCTGAGGTGCTGGAAGTTAGGACTTCAGCATATGAATCTGCAGGGAGAAAAGAGCCCACAGCCACATCATAGGGCCTGGTGACTACTGATCTTTTGAAGGAGTTGCCAGCAATCTAAATGATTGACTGAAGAGAAGGGGTCAGATCAGATCTGAGTTTTCTACCTATCAGTCGGGAGCATGGTGGAGGCTGGGTTGAAGGGAGGAAGGGCGGAACACTAGAAACAAGTTGGAGGGTTATGATTATTGTTCAGATATCATCATATGATTCAGGCTAGAACTAAAATAGTGGGTGTATGGGAAAAAAGTTTGGAAAGCAACACCTTAGTGTTAGATTGATTATGAAAATAAGGAAAAGGCGCCGGGCACAGTGGCTCATGTCTGTAATCCTAGCACTTTGGGAGGCCAAGGTGGGTGGATCACTTGAGGTCAGGAGTTCGAAACCAGCCTGGCCTACATGGTGAAACCCCATGTCTACTAAAAATACAAAAATTAGCCAGGCGTGGTGGTGGGCGCCTATAATCCCAGCTGCCTTGGGAGGCTGAGGCAGAAGAATCACTTGAACCCAGGGGGCGGAGGTTGCAGTAAGCCAAGACCACGCCACTTCACTCCAGCCTCAGCAAAAGAGTGAAACTCTGTCTCAAAAATGCAATAATAATAAGGAAAAGGAAAGAGCATTTGTTAATGGTTTGGGCAACAGGGTATGACACTGTTCTTGAAAAAGAGGAAGCTATTTGAAGAATGGGTTCAGCAGGAAGAGCAAGTGCTATGTTCTCTTTTGCACAGGTCATAATTGACAAATACAAGACATTTGAGGGGGACTGTCTACTAGTTGGTTACCTATAAATAAGGATTTAGTGTTTACGTGTGAGGTCAGTAGAAATAGAAATTTTTAAAAATCACAATGAAAAATGGATTAATGGGTATGGGTGAAACTACCCAGAGGGTATATACAGAGGGCTCAGGCCTATACCCTGGAGGAGCTAATGCTTAAGAAATGAGCACACTAATAGTTAATAACTAATGAACAAATAAACAAGAAGTGACCAGAGATGGGCAGGAGGAGACAGAGACATAGAGCCCCATCATGACACACAGAAGAATGTGAAGCACAAGTCAGTAGCGTCCAGTGTGACAGAGAGGACAGACACTGGCAGTTAATCAGTTGTTGGTACTTTAGTGAGAGCAGTTTGTGGCCAAAACCAGATGAATATGAATTAAGAAATTATTGGGAGACAAACAAGACCTGGATGTAGGCTGTTCTTTTTCAGAAGCTTGCCTGTAAATAGGGCATAAGAGGTAGATTTTCAAGTTGTTTTTAAATTGAAGATATTTGCACATGTTCAAATGCCTAAGGTAAACAGAGTGACTGAAGGAACAAGGTCCCCTGCAGAGGGAGGAGAGGAAGTGGGATCTATAAGGAGCTGAGGCAAAGAAGTCTTGGGAGGCATTTTAATGGCCCCTATTTTTTCTGTGAAATAGAGAGCAAATTCATCAGCTGAAATGTTTCAGCACAGAGCTGGGCATATGGTATTTGCTCAACAGATGCTTATTTAATTATTGGTGGAAGTATATGACATTTGGATTTGGAATGAGCATAAGAGGTCCAGAGGCAAGAGTGAGTTGGGCAGCGGGTCTACACTGATGCCAGGGGTCCACAGGCAAGATCCTGACTTACCTAGTTCAGTCAGAGCAAGGGGAATTTTTAAAGTCTCTAAGTGATTCTCATTGTAGTCAAGAGTGAATCACTGGTCCAGGGGCCGGGTGCAGTGACTCACACCTGTAATCCCAGCACTTTGGGAGGCCAAGGTAAGTGAATCACCTGAGGCCAGGAGTTCGAGACCAGCCTGGCCAACATGGTGAAACCCCGTCTCTACTAAAAATACAAAAATTAACTGGGCGTGGTGGTGCACACCTATAGTCCCAGCTGCTTGGGAGGCTGAGGCAGGAGAATCACTTGTACCCGGGAAGCAAAGATTGCAGTGAGACGAGATCGTGCCACTGCACTCCAGCCTGGGCGACAGAGTGAGACTCCGTCTCAGAAAAAAAAAAAAAAAAAGGAGTGAATCACTGGTCTAAAGGTAAACTTGAAACATGCTTAGAGTAAGGAAAGGCTACTTTTTAATGAGCTAACAGATGTGATCTAGGGAAGAAATTGTTGCCTATAATAATGTAAAATAGGATTTAATCACATCTCTTTTTCATTTCCCTTGAATTATCAAATTCTGTTTATGTAAAACAGAGAGCAAAAGACAAATAATTACAAAGAGATTGAGAGTAATAACAAAACATTGTGTAATATACCAGACATTAACAATGAAAATTGCCCATCTCTCTGCCTAACTATATGGCCATTGACAGAACATATTAAAAGGAAATAAAAATAACTTTCACTTAGTGCCAATCACATGTCAAGCATTGGATTTGCTTCCTTCATATGTTGTCTCATTTAACCTTCTCAACAACCCATTTTACCGATTTCTAAACTAAGACTCAGAAAGTAGCCTCATTTGTAAACAAGAGGAAGGGCAGCGTCCTGGAGTTTCAGAAGACTTGGAGAAGAGTTGGGAAGCCCAGGATCAGGGGAATTCACTAGTTTCTCCCTCTCAGTAGATAAAAGCCTTAGGAAGTAATCAGAGGATAGAAATATGACTTCCATTTGCAGATGTAAATATTTAAAGTACTGTACATTTGTTTAACACCTGCTACGCAATTCACCCTCTGTTGACTTTGACATTTCATTATTTTAGAATGACCTTTGCCCTTTAGCATAACACAAATCCATTAAAAGGAATGGTGACAGAAACTCAAAAGGGTTGTGTGAAGATCATGATGGTTTTTATACCCCTGTGCCTCTGCTTTCGATCAATTTTTCTCTTCTATCCCAGTAACATGGTTATCCAAGCCAGATAAAAGCAGAGAAAATGGCTCTTCCCTCTCATTTTTGCTAGCATGTCAAAATAATAAATAGGTTAATCATAGCAGTCATTTTGACTTAGGACATCTTAGGCACACCTTTGGGAGTGCAGAAACATTCCCAGGTTACTATTGAAGAGTTCCAGCTCTTAGCCAGAAAAGAAAATCTACTTTTCCCTTTTTCCTTTACTTGTGTGAAGTCAGTGTTCTAGGAAGTATTGAACCTGTCTAAGAAACCCTGCAAGGCAGCTCTGAAATTTACAGCCTGGCAGCAAGCTTTTAAAAAATGCACCAGGCAATCTAGAGTAAGCTTTTATTGTAATAAAAGACACAGGTGGAAGATGAATAGTCAACGCCATTGATTTTGACACCACCAGAGAACTGTGTCTTGCGTGTAGAGTGTATGTGTCACTGTCTTTTGAAATTGAGTCTGTGGCTGCTGCTACTATTGTCTCCCATGGCAACCTACCATCATCCTAGGACCTCCATCAATAGGCATTGAGGTCTGGTGGGCAGAAGACTGGGTAGAGACCTAAAGTTTAGTCATTGATCTCCCACATACCCTGGTTCCAACATCTGCAGTGAAGAGATATCATCAATTCCTCCCTCTCTACCCCCTTGTTGATATGACAAAGGATCTAACATGTTAGGCAAAACCAAGGCTTCTATTGCATTCTATGTTTGGCTAATTTATTTCTTAATGGGTTAAGAGTGAAATAATTAGAAGCAGTTAGATATTCATTTATTGAATCTCTTTGGTCTGCATGCAGCCTGTGCTAAGGAATAAATAAATAAAGATGTGACAAGGTCAGAAGTTTGTTCCTTATATCTAATCAAGATCCTGGAGTTGGAAGTAGGTCGTTACCCTTCTTGTGAAACTTCCATCTATGCATTTGCTATGCACACAAGGATCTGAAGTCCTCTCATCCTTTCTTTCAGCATATATTTGTTGTTGAAAATATGTATTTGCTATGCATTAGATGTTGTTCTGGTCACTAGACGGTAAAAGATAATTTTTAGTACCTAGCTTCAAAGAGCTCAATGCCACCATATACAAAAGGCAAGTATAGAGATAATCAAGTATTGTGGAAGCTGAGAGGAAGAAGCTCTTAGCAATTCTCCAAATCCATGGTAAAATTTAAAAAGAGGTATTTGAGATTAATCCATTACATGACAACTCATGTGTATTAGTTCATTTTCATGCTGCTGATACAGTCATACCCAAGACGGGTAATTTATAAAGACAAAGGGGTTTAATAGACTCACAGTTCCACATGGCTGGAGAGACCTCATAATCATGGCAGAAGGTGAAAGGCCTATCTAACATGGCAGCAGGCAAGAGAGAATGAGAACCTAGTGAAAAGGAAAATCCTATATAAAGCCATCAGATCTCGTGAGACTTATTCACTATCACAAGAACGGTATGGGGGAAACTGCTCCCATGTTTCAGTTATCTCCCACTGGGTCCTACCCACAACACGTGGGAATTATGGGAGCTACAACTCAAGATGAGATTTTGGAGGGGACACTGCCAGACCATATCAACTTGTTACTTTAGGAAGATCCTAATGTGATGCACATGAAAACAGGAGAATCCGGTGGTTAGATAACTGGCGTGTAATATGAAAAGGGAGTGTATTAGGGTTCTCTAGAGGGAAAGAACTAATAGGATAGATGTATATATAAAGGGGAGTTTATTAAGTATTAAACTCACATGATTACAAGTTCCCACAATAAGCCATCTGCAAGCTGAGGAGCAAAGAAGCCAGTTCGAGTCCCAAAGCTGAAGAACTTGGAGTCTGATGTTTGAGGGCAGGAAGCATCCAGCATGGGAGAAAGATGTAGACTGGGTGGCTAAGCCAGTCTAGTCTTTCCACGTTCTTCTGACTGCTTTTATTCTAGCCATGCTGGCAGCTGATTAGATTGTGCCCACCCAGATTAAGGGTGGATCGGCCTTTCCCAGTCCACTGACTCACATGTTAATATCTTTTGGCAACACCCTCACAGACACACCCAGGATCAATACTATGCATCCTTCAACCCAATCAAATTGACACTCAGTATTAACCATCACAGGGAGAAAGGTGAAAGCGAGAAGGGAGAGAAAGCAAGAAGTGTAAAGGGTAAGGTAAGTGGGTAAAACTTGCAGAGAAGGAAAACTGAGGAGCAGGAAGTGATTAAGCAAAATAGTATGGGGCCAAATTACAAGAAAAGGGCTGTCAGAACATATCACTGGTTGCTTAATTTGTGCCACATATGATTTTGTAAATTAGATTTGTATAAGTAAATGCCATCCACATACATGATTTATATTATCAATTTGTTTTATTGGCATTATTCCCAAGAATGCTGAAAAACATATCAGCAGAATTGGAAAGAAAGTTTCTAGGCAATAGTCACTCCTTTTCATCATAAATCTGCACTAGAGCCCAACTGTCTTCTCTAAACCAGGACATGGATGTTCAGCTGCTCACTGGATGTTTCCGCTAGGTGTCTAACCTATTATTCTTTTCCCTTGGAACTTGACCTCTCATCACCTGCAGTTGTTATACTTTTCCCTGTCTCCTTGTTTTCTCGTTTTTCTTTTCTTTACTTTTCTTTTCTTTTTTTTTTTTGTTTGTTTGTTTGTTTGTTTTTTGAGAAGGAGTCTCGCTCTGTTGCCCAGGCTGGAGTGCAGTGGCACGATCTTGGCTCACTGCAAGCTCCGCCTCCCGGGTTCACTCGATTCTCCTGCATCAGCCTCCCGAGTAGCTGGGACTACAGGCGCCCGCCACCACTTCTGGCTAATTTTTTGTATTTTTAGTAGAGACGGGGTTTCACTGTGTTAGCCAGGATGGTCTCGATCTCCTGACCTCGTGATCCGCCCGCCTTGGCCTCCCAAAGTGCTGGGATTACAGGCGTGAGCCACCGCGTCCAGCCATCTCCCTGTTTTTTCTTACTGCTGTTCTCCTTGTCTAATAGTCCAACTTACACTCTTCCCCACCCTTCCCCACCCTCCCTCAGTCTTTCTTCTCTACTTAACTGACTTCTAGCAATTCTAGCAAACTTCAAAAACGCAGCCCCAGTTATCTCTGCTCCCCTTTCCCTGCCCGGACTGACTTAAATGCTCTTTCTTCAAGATTTCATTGCACTTGGTACATGTTTCCTATTTAGCCGTCATCACACTGAATGATAATTGCAAGTGTTGCTTGTCTGTCTTTCCTGAAGTCTGGTATCAAGTACAGAGTCCTATATCTCACAGGTACTCAGCATATGTTGGCTGATCAAATGAATGAGTACAGAAAATGATAATGCACTTTTAACTGTCAGTGAAGTCAAGAGTTGAGAATATTTAGTTCTGCTGAGTCTTGCATTGATCTTCAACGGCTTAGTCATTCAAAAGTTATACTAACATGAAGGGTTAAGTGTCTGACCCATACGTTTTTAGTCCCAAAGGTGCTATTATGAGCATTATATTTTTTATAAAGTTTTAAGTCTTCTAAATTTTTTACACTATGATGATGTTATTAGTTAGCCTTTAAAAATAATGACTTTTAAAGCCCCCGTTTTCTCACCAACAACAAAAATGGAAGTCCAGATCCAGTCTTCTTGTGGTCTAGGTGTATGGGCCAGGGGTGCAGCAGATGACTTAGGAGAAATGGGGAAGAGACTGGTTGTCCAGTCAATATAATTTTGTAATAACGTTTGGAAACCACTGGTTTCTGAGACACTGGGTTTGGTTTGTTGATATGGAAATGGTAACCTATAAGGGTTAGCTTGGAAATGTGTGGAATAGTGTTAGTAAATACGTACAGTCTAATGCAAGTTTAGAAGAACAAATATATTTTTTCTGGGTCAAAATGTTTCAAATATTCTTAAGACTTATACATAACAAATATATGTGAAGGAAAATAGATGGATGTATAATATGCAAGCAGTAGACACATCTTTCTGCCAAGAGTCAGAATGGGTTTATTCAATAAAGAACCACTAGCCTTTCTCAGAATAGTCTAGTGTCAGTATAGTTGTTAGTCTTGGGGTTCTGACCCAATTCCAGCTAAGTAATTTTATTCTGCCTGCTTAAATTTCCCTACCATTACCACTCGACACAGAATTCTTCTTCATTTCTTGCTCCATCTAAAGTGTGATTCCATCCTGAAAAAGAGCTTCATGCACCACTCTAAAGGTGACTGCTTTGCTGTGATGAGTGAGGCAATTTTGTTATGTTAAGTGCTTTGGGGAAAAAAGCACTTATAGTGCTCCCGTAGAAACGCAAGCTAATATTACTCAATGAGCCTTCCTTTCAGCTGTTGTGCAGTGTGGCATTTTCAAAATGAAGAGGCCTTCCCCCATTGCAGTTTATTTATGTGATATATTCAGAATGGACCTATTTCCTAAAGGCATCTGGGAATATGTGTAGAAGAAATATGAAAGAAACAAAAATTAAACACAGATGAAGTTAAACAGCTAACAGTGGAGAGGCTAGTGGGGTTGCTAAACTGCAACTTCAAACCTAGATCTGAAATTCTGAATGATTAAGAAGAATGGAAAATAATTACACAAGGATCTTCCAGCACATCTGCCACCTTGCTAAGGTCTAAATTGCAAATGATGTTAGTAGTTCCAAGAGGTACTTAGGGTAGGCAAATGTGTCCATACTAACTACAGAATTCAGAGCTTCATAGACTTTAGAATAAATAATTTTTGCAAATTTATTGAATATTTACATGCAGCATTTAAAAGACAGCCACATTTTTGAAAAGTGTAGCAGCCAACACATTGAATATACATAGATATAATTCCTTTCTAGAACACATCAGCATGCTTTTTCTTTAAAATTAATCCCTTTCATTGTCTTTTAGTAGCCCCAAATTATCTATTCCCTTTCTTAGAATAATCTTTTAGCCTGTTTTTAAGGTACATGTTTGCTTTGAAAAAGTGGTATTATTGATCTTTAAATACTGAAAGGTGTCTTAAGGTTAATTCAAGAGTATTAGCAAAAATAACCTTACCTAAGTCTCTTGAAAGCAGGTGAGGACACAGATAGGAAGGCACTGTAAATCAATTGTTGGAGTGTTGACTCTATCATCAAATAGCAGATATTCTGATTTTTTTTTCTATTTCATTCCTAAGTGAGGAGGCATTTTCTCCATCTTTTCGTCTGAAAATCTGGCATAGGTACGTAAAGAAAATAAGAGGAAATCTTTCAGAAGAACATCAAGGCCTGTGACATGGGATGCTTTATTTGACAAAGACAACAAAGATTTCCCTCACTGAAGAACATCTCTCATATTTCATGACTCTTATTATAACGTTGTGACAAATTCTGGAAGCATTTCCTGGCCTTTCACATTGCCTCTTGAGTATGGACATTTTAACGTACTTACTAGTGTTTAGAAGCAGAGATGTTAATGGTTGAAACCTTGGAAGCCAGGGGCTCATGGGCTGGGAGGGCATCCAATTCTGTTCTCAGTACAGAACCTCTCACTCCATTAAGCTTGTTTTATTTTTATTTTTTTCAAAATGAGGCGAAGAATAACATCGACCTCTTAGAATCAAGAAGATTAAATGAAATACTGCATGTACCACTTCCTGCAGGTACATAGGAAGTGGATGTTAACAGGTGGCCCCTCAACAACTGAGCCACACGTTCGCTTTTGAATCTGGATAATGACTATGTGATGAGCCTATATATATCTATACCTTCATCTTTTATTATTGTCTCCTCAAAATGTCTGTAATCATTAACACAATGTCACGCACAGCTAGATAATGCTGTCCCCATGGTTAAAGTCCTGCTTCACTGGCATTGTGGTTTCAGGATGGATTCATGGGACTGTGACCCGTTTTCCTGTGATATTGATGTCTTCCTATTCGTTCTTGAAAGCCTACCTTTTATACCAATTTTTCTTTGCTTTAACATTATTTTGAGAGGAAACGGTCTTAAGAATGAAGCTAGAAGTAAAGGTCAAGTATTTTTGTGGCAGGGCACAAATCTCTGCAGTCCTTCTGTCTTTTTAATCAGCTACCCCGGTGCACATTGTCCCAACCCACACAGCTTGTGTTTGCTTCCGTGGGCTGCATCCCTATAGCTTTCATTTGTCTCGACCACCTGCGTCTTTCACTCTGACACTGAACACCTGTGTCCACTTTTGTCCCCAACCTGAGCCTGAGTCTGGGATCAGTTTGCCTCTGCCCACTTTCTCTTTGGTCTATCTGGACACCTGCCCAATACTCCTGACCTGATTGACCCCAGGTGCTTTACTGCGCTCCCTCCTAGTTGACCAAACTAGTCATAGATTCATATGATTTAGGAACTAGAAAGTCTATCAGATATCTACAAATTTAAGCATTTAATTTTACAGATGGGAATTCGTGAGCTCAGTGTCAGATGTTGATGTTGTGGTGCAGGCAGGACTAGAGCCTCTGTCTCCTTCTTATGTAATTAAACCCCTTTATGATTGCAAGGGGGAAACAAATGATCTGTTTTAAAACCTAAAAGTTTAAATCTACACATAGAATGTCTGCTTGAATGTCTGTTTTTCAAGTGTAGGAAATATATTACATTGTGGAATCAGAGCTATATTTTTTGCCTTCATTTATCTCTCTATGAGAATTCTATACCTAAGTGTATGTTTGAATTTTTATGTTTATTAATAAAATGTGTTTACTATACTTTGTTCTTCAATGAATAAATAACTGTCAATTTAAAGAAATCTATCTTAAGTAGATAATCAGAAATAGGGACAAATCTGAGATAAGGAGTATATTTTATAATAGTGCAAAATCAGGTAAGAATCTAAAAAGCCAACAATAAGACAATTGCTACAGAGGTCATAGTGCATTGCTGATAGGGAATATCATGCAGCCAGTAAAAAGGATGCTTTCATAGAATAATGAGGGGAGTATCTAACTATATTGCTATTGAATTGAAAACAAAGGGTAAACATTGCATACATAGCCTGATCCTAATATTGTGCCTATTAGAGTTAACATCTGAAAGGAAGTATCACAAAATATTCGAAGTATCTCTGTCTTGGTTAGTTACAGATGATTTTTATTCTCCTCCTTGTCTTCTTTTTCCAAATAGTGTGTGACAAACACATACAAAGAAAACATTTGAAGTTTTAAAAATCTAATAAAAATGTAGTTATGTCTTTCTGAAAAACAAAGTTACTTTTCACTTTGTCGCTAGGGGGAAGTGTTCTTACTCCAATCATATGCATCTTCTAAGACCAGAATATACCACTGCATTCTCAAAATCAACAAGGCTACTTTTCCATGGGAAGTTCTGAAAGAGTCCGAACACTAAGAGAAGTGGCAGAAAGAGAAAGTATGGGCCCACAGCTTTCAAGATGAGGGCTGCTGGCTGCAGTTCCCAGGGGCACTTGTTTGTTTAATGCAGCCTTATAAAGGACCAGAGACAGAGAAGTATAATTTTTTTTTTTTTTTTTTTTTTTTTTTTTTTTTTTTTTTTTCTGAGACGGAGTCTCGCTCTGTCGCCCAGGCTGGAGTGCAGTGGCGCAATCTCGGCTCACTGCAAGCTCCAGCTTCCCAGGTTCATGCCATTCTCCTGCCTCAGCCTCCCGAGTAGCTGGGACTACAGGCTCCCGCCACCATGCCCGGCTAATTTTTTGTATTTTTTAGTAGAGACGGGGTTTCACCGTGTTAGCCAGGATGGTCTCGATCTCCTGACCTCGTGATCCACCCGTCTCGACCTCCCAAAATGCTGGGATTACAGGCATGAGCCACCGCACCTGGCCACAGAGAAGTATAATTTTAATTCCCTGGAGCAGACGGTGATTCCCTTGCCTCACACTTGTTAAATACACACACACACGCGCGCGCGCGCGCGCACACACACACACACACACACACACACTCCATCATGCCCACTTCTCTGAGACTTCTGCAGGTCTCCTTGGCTAGAATGACAAGTCCAGGCAAATTCACTAATGTTATTTTTCACCTGTCCTGAATAGGACCTTCCCTAGCCCTTTACAACCTTGAGCCTTGGGCAAGTTATTTCCCTTCTAGGGTCTTAGTTTCCCCAACCATTAAAGAGGATAATAGTAGTTCCTACTTCATTGTAGTGTTGGGGAGATAAAACTAATCTCAGTGCCCTAAAGTGATTAGAACAGTACCAAGCCCATTGAAAATACTACATGACAAAAGATGTGTCTCTCTCATCTTCTGCTTCTCTCTCCATCCCCCTCACTTTCTCTCTTTCTCTGTCTCCCCCTCCCTTTTTCTCTCCCTCCTTCCTCATCTGGAAAGTGATCTTTATCTTCACCATGTGGCATTTTGAAGATAGCTTTAAACAAGATGCAAAGGCAAAAGAAATAACAAAAGTCATCTTGCCATTTCATGGGGTAAATCAGAGATGAGATGAAGTCATTCACTTCCTAAAATGAGTTTTTTCATTTTTTTAAAACAATCCACCTTTTTCTTTGGGTCTGCTGACCCATGATTACAGGGTCATATTGTGTTTTTTTTATTTTTGTTTGTTTTGTTTTTCATTTTGGTTTACCTGGCACTGAGCAATAAAATAATAAAATATATATATCTTTTCAATAATACCAGTATGCACAGAAGTAGGAAAAAAGGGCTCCCATTGCTTACTGAATTGCTCACTAATCACACTGTTTGAATTCAATGGGGAATTCCACAACACACCCGACTTTTCATTTATTTATTTTTTATTGGTTCTGGGAGAGGTTTGTGATTCATTCCATGTAGGTTGCAAGCCCTTGTACTACAGGAACAAATGGTCTCTGGGGCGATTTGGTTTATTAACTTTTAGGGCAAAGGAGGAGAAATAGAAGAATTGCTTAACTGCAATATGCTGGTGAAAAGTTTAGACTTTTGTAGTTCAATGACACTTTGAGATATTTTGACTGGTCCTGCTTCTTTTTCTTTTCTTTTCTTTTCTTTTCTTTTTTTTTTTTTTTTTTTTTTTGAAACAGAGTCTCACTCTGTTGCCCAGGCTGGAGTGCAGTGGTGCCATCTCAGCTCACTGCAAGCTCCGCCTCCCAGGTTCATGCCATTCTCTTGCCTCAGCCTCCCAAGTAGCTGGGACCACAGGCGCCCGCCACCACGCCCGGCTAATTTTTTGTATTTTTGGTAGAGACAGGGTTTCACCGTGTTAGCCAGGATGGTCTCAATTTCCTGACCTCATAATCCGCCCACCTTGGCCTCCCAAAGTGCTGGGATTACAGGCATGAGACACCACGCCTGGCCCTGGTCCTGTTTCTTGATGATAGATGGACTGATTGTAGAGAAGGAGGCAGCGTGATGGAGTAGAAAGATACCTGGCCGAAAGACAGAGACTCAGGCCACGGTCACAGCTCTGCCACACATGCCCAGCCACATCACCAGGCTCCTCGTGTCCCTGGAACTCAGTGACCTTCTTCACACATGAAGAGGGTGAACTGGACACAGCCCCCTCTCAGTAAGGTTTTGTCATTTCAGGGATGATGATAAGTCATATCTTCCACATAAACTTTGTGAGGAAATAAAAGGAACTCTCCCATCCATAAAGAAATAACAATCTTAATACAATAAGCATTTATTGTGCTGCCTGCCTGGTGTTGCATTTAACCCCCCAGTGAAGTAGGAACAGTCTCCCTGATAGCAGAGATGAATCCCAGAACTAACAAAGGTTAAGTAAGTTGCCCTAGGTCAGAGAGCCTGTGGCTGGTGGCACCAAGCCTCAAGGCCTGACGCACATCTTATGATCATGCCTCTCTCCATGCTGTCTCTCTGGGGGAGCAGAAAGACCATCTAAGCTGTTAAGGATTCAAAGTAACTCAAGTGAAATGTGCAAGTTAATAAAGAGGAAGGAGCAATGTGAATGCTTTTATAGCTTTGTGAAGGGTAATTCAGGATCACAGTGCCCATGTGGTAAGAACAGAGTTACTATGAGAGACTTAAAGAGAAGCTTAATTGGAGCAAAGAAAGAAAGAAAAAACTCTGAGATAGGACAAAAAATGCTTTGTCTCCATCACCTATGTTTTCTCCTTCATTATTCTCTTGTAAAATGGTGAAGCACGTGGAATTTAGTAAGTAAATAAGATACAGGGTAAGCATGTTGATGCTATTTGTGCAATTTAGGCACTTGGTGTACCAGATGGAGTGAGAGCAGATACGAGGGCTACTGCTCCAGGAGCTGCTGTTTACATTTAATGAGTTGCTTTGGGTTGGTCCAAATTAATCCACTAGCTACGAAAACACGGTAGGAGGCACTAGAAACATACACAGAGTTCTTCTCTCAGAAAGATCTTTAAGAACTCTTTACCCCTTAAATTCTATGACTCATCTTTAAGGCAAGGAATGATAGGTTGATGTGAATTATTTGAACATTCCAAGCTACAAATGACATAAAAACTTATTCCTATGAAGAATCAACAATAAAAATTTAAATAAAGAGTTATGGTTGGTAGTATATACTTTGATGTCCATCACATTCATGATTTACAAGGCCTACTCTTCCTGGCTTATGATGTAACTAAACATCTCAAAGATATAATATAGCAATGAGATGATGCTTACATGAATATATTATGTTTTTATGAAATACAAGGCATCATTCTCCTAAAAAGAAGCCAATGTCGGAAAATGAATCCTGTAGATTCTAATTCCTGCACTGTGTGAGGACTACTGGTGAATTATTTTCCGCCACAATTTGCATTTTCTTCTGCAGTGTTATAGCAAAATAAGCCTCTTTGTTTGCACTGGTTTCAGAATTAATTTAGTTTGTATATTTGTTCTCTCCTCCTCTTCCTGGATTTGGTTTCAAAGTAAACAGTTGTTTTCATTAAATTCTCTTTTATTTGGCCTTAGTTCTTTGGTTACTGTCATTATTCTGGATGGCTGTCCCTGTTTTATTTTTGAATCTGATATCTGTACACTGTTTTAAATTGCATTAAATTGGTTCGCTTCCATTTTCTATTGTTTACCTCATTCTGGGTACTATGATTTCTGTAGCTACATCTGATTCCTGTCATGGTGTGATCTTTTTGTATGAACCTAAACACCATACAGGGTTGGCAGAATGAGAAAAAGAAAATCAACAATTTGATGTTTACTGAATGTGGACAAATTACAAGGAAGAAACAAAAATGACATTCATCACAGAGATTGTCTTGAAAGTTAATGACAAACTTAGAGTCTTGAAAAGCAGCAGGAACTACCTTGTTTGGTAAAGCCAAAAATATCAACATCTTTTTTTTTTTTTAGCTTAACCTAGAAATAACCTCTGACAGAAGCAAAAGCAGCCACACTTTTCAATTTCAAGCTAAAAGAACTAAAAAGTTATTTCTACCTAATAAAAAAGTACAATAAGATTCTGAATTCCCACAGAAACTCTTCATCTACATTATAACACATCAAAAGCCACCAAGGGGCCATTTATCCTGTAGACCAGTGCTAATAAAGTTTTGTGGGCATTTGTGATGGTGTTCATGGCAGGAGAGTAGGGAGAGGGAGTTTTAGTGCAGAGGAGAAGGTAGCAAGTTAGTTTTTATAAACTTTCTGGAAGAAAATACAGAAAGATTTTTAAAAATTATTCCAATGATTCTTTTAACGAATGTTTAATAACACCTCTTAGGATCCAAGTATTGTTCTAGAGTTTGGAAATACAGCAGTAACCAAAACAAGCAAAATCCTTGCCTTTTTGAAAATTCCATGATATTTGGAAAAGAGGAACAATAACAAATATACATATAATAAGTCAGCAGATGATCATTGCTATGAAGAATCAAGCAATGGGAAGAGTGACTAGGAGTTGTAGGGTTGTTAGAGAAAGCTTTTCTGAGACAGGGCATTTAGGTTGAGACCTGAAGAAAATAAGAGAATGAGTTACGTCTACATCTAGAGGGAGAATATTCCAGGAAGAAGGCCCTGGGACGGTAGAGTATCTGGACTATATTTAATGAGGCCAGTGAGTGAAAATATAAATGGTAATAGATTAGGTCATGGAGGTGAACTTAGAAAGGAGAAGACCTGTGTTAAGTATGCACAAGACTGAGGGAATGTAAACAAATGATTGGTAAATTTAACTATAAAAATTCAAAAATTTCTGCATAGCAAAATCCACCATGAATGAAGAGAAAAGATAAACAATAACTAAGGGAAAATATTGGTAATTCATGAAACAAAAGGGCTGGTTTTCTTGATTTTTTTTAAAAAGAAACTTATTTATATCAAAATGAAAAAAAAATCCAACAGTAAAATAAATAGACAAAGAAGAGAAAGAGACAAAGCACTGGAAACAAATAGCTTTTAAACATATTAAAAGATGTCCAACCTTCCCTATAATAAGGGAAATTCAGGGTAGACCCACACTGAGATGCCAATTTCTTACTCTATCAGATGGACAAAGATCCAAACGTTTGATCTTAACATATCAACGTTTGAGACTTAAAGAATCAGATATTGTCATGTATTGCTGGTGAGAATATAAACAAGTACAGCCTTTATGAAGAGAATTTTTGCAAAACTATCAACATTTTATAAGCCCATATCTTTGACCCAGCAGTTTCACTTCTAAGACTTTATCCAACAGATTTATTTGTACATGGGTTGAATTATGTACAAGGGTATTCACTGCAGCATTATTTGTAATAGCAGAAAACCCTAGGACATGTTGAGTAGTGAGAAATGAATGAGAAGCCAAGAGTGGAGTCTGATTATGAATCTCTTTGTAAACTTGAATCCTTAGAAGTTCTTGATCAGGTAGAATGATAACAAGGCTGTGTTTAGAAAAATGTGTCTGACATTGGTTTCAGGATGGATTGTGTGTTGGGGAGAGCTCCAAGTTCAATGTCATTTAAAGAGTTCTGTTTGAGCTGAAAGGGGAGAATCCTTGTTTAGGGGGCAGAGGTGGCATTAGGCAAGGCTGGCGAGGTAGGTAGGGACCAGCGTATGAAGGGCCTTTCTCATTTTTATTTTTATTTTATTTTAAGTTTCGGGATACATGTACAGAACGTGCAGGTGTGTTACATAGGTATACATGTGCCATGGTGGTTTCCTGCACCTGTTGACCCATCCTCTAAGTTCCCACCCCTTGCCTCCCTAACAGGCCCTGGTGTTTGTTGTTCCCCTTCCTGTGTCCATATATTCTCATTGTTCAACTCCCACCTATGAGTGAAGACATGCAGAGTTTGGTTTTCTGCACCTGTGTTAGTTTGCTGAGGATGACGGCTTCCAGTTTTATCCATGTCCCTGGAAAGGACATGATCTCATTCCTTTTTATGACTGCATAGTATTCCATGGTGTATATGTACCACATTTTCTTTATCCAGTCTATCACTGATGGGCATTTGGGTTGGTTCCATGTCTTTGCTATTGTAAATAGTGCTGCAATAAATGTACATTTGCATGTGTCTTTATCATAGAATGACATATTCCTTTGTGTATATACCCAGTAATTGCGTTTCTAAGTAAATTGGTATTTCTGGTTCTAGATCCTTGAGGAATTGCCATACTGTCTTCCAAAACGGTTGAACTAATTTACCTTCCCACCACAGTGTAAAAGCCTTCCTATGTCCCCACAGCCTCGCCAGCATCTGTTGTTTCTTGACTTTTTAGCAATTGTCATTCTGACTGGCGTCAGATGGTATCTCACTGTGGTTTTGATTTGCATTTCTATAATGATCAGTGCTGTTGAGCTTTTTTTCATATGTTTGTTGTCCGCATAAATGTCTTTTGAAAAGTGTCTGTTCATATCCTTTGCCGACTTTTTGATGGGTTTTTTTTTTTCTTGTACATTTTTTTAAGTTCCTTGTAGGTTTTAGATATTAGACCTTTGTCAGATGGGTAGATTGCAAAATTTTTCTCCCATTCTGTAGTTTGCTTGTTCACTCTGATGATAGTTTCTTTTGCTGTGCAGAAGCTCTTTACTTTAATTAGATCCCATTTGTAAATTTTGGCTTTTGTTGCAATTGCTTTTGGCATTTTCATCTTGAAGTCTTTGCCCATCCCTATGTCCTGAATGGTATTGCCTAGATTTTCTTCGGGGGTTTTTATAGTTTTGAGTCTTACATTTAAGTCTTTAATCCATCTTGAGTTAATTTTTGTATAAGGTGTAAGGAAGGGGTCCAGTTTCAGTTTTCTGCATGTGGCTAGCCAGTTTTTCCAGCACCATTTATTAAATAAGAAATCCTTTCCCCATCACTTGTTTTTGTCAGGTTTGTCAAAGATCAGATGGTTGTAGATGTGTGGTGTTATTTCTGAGGTCTCTGTTCTGTTCCATTGGTCTATATGTCTGTTTTGGTACCAGTACCATGCTGTTTTCATTACTGTCACCTTGTAGTATAGTTTGAACTCAGGTAGCATGATGCCTCCAGCTTTGTTCTTTGTCTTGGCTGTTCTTGTTCTTTGTCTTGGATGGGTCTTCTTTGATTCCATATGTAATTTAAAGTAGTTTTTCCTAATTTTGTGAAGAATGTCAATGGCAGTTTGATGGGAATAGCAGTGAATCTATAAATTACTGTGGGCAGTATGGCCATTTTCATGATATTGGTTCTTCCTATCCATGAGGATGGAATGTTTTTCCATTTGTTTGTGTCCTATCTTATTTCCTTGAGCAGTGGTTTGTAGTTCTCCTTGACGCGGTCCTTCACATCCCTTGTTAGTTGTATTCCTAAGTATTTTATTCTCTTTGTAGCAATTGTCAATGGGAGTTCATTTATGATTTGGCACTCTGCTTGTCTATTGTTGGTATAAAGGAATGTTTGTGATCTTTTCACATTGATTTTGTGTCCTGAGACTTTGCTCAAGTTGCTTATCAGCTTAAGGAGTTTTTGGGCTGAGATGATGGGCTTTTCTAAGTATAGAATCATGTCTTCTGCAAACAGAGACAATTTGACTTCCTCTCTTTCTATTTGAGTATGTTTATTTCTTTCTCCTGCCTAATTGCCCTGGCCAGAGCTTCTGATACTATGTTGAATATGAGTGATGAGAGAGGGCATCCTTGTCTTGTACCGGTTTTCAAAGGGAATGCTTCCAACGTTTGCCCATTCAATATGATATTGGCTATGGGTTTGTCATAAATAGCTCTTGTTATTTTGAGATATGTTCCATCAATACCTAGCTTATTGAGAGTTTTTAACATGAAGGGATGTTGAATTTTATCAAAGGCTTTTTCTACATTTATTGAGATAGTCATGTGGTTTTTGCCTTTGGTTCTATTTATGTGATGGATTACATATATTGATTTGTATATGTTGAGCCAGCCTTGCATCCCAGGGATGAAGCTGACTTGATTGTGGTGGATGTGGTTTTTGATGTGCTACTGAATTCACTTTGCCAGTATTTTATTGAGGATTTTCACATCGATGTTCATCAGGGATATTGGCCTGAAGTTTTCTTTTTTTGTTATGTTTCTGCCAGATTTTGGTATCAGTATGATGCTGGCTTCATAAAATGAGTTAGGGAGGAGTCCCTCCTTTTCAATTGTTTGGGGTAGTTTCAGAAAGAATGGTACCAGATCCTCTTTGTACCTCTGGTAGAATTCGGCTGTGAATCTGTCTGGTCCTGGGCTTTTTTTGGTTGGTAGGCTATTAATTACTGCCTCAATTTCAGAACTTGTTATTGGTTTATTCAGGGATTCAACTTCTTCCTGGTTTAGTCTTGGGAGGGTGTATGTGTCCAGGAAGTTATCCATTTCTTTTATATTTTCTAATTTATTTGCATAGAGGTGTTTATATTATTCTCTGATGGTAGTTTGTATTTCTGTGGGGTCAGTGGTGATATCCCCTTTATCATTTTTTATTGTGTCTATTTTATTCTTCTCTTTCCTTTTTAGTTAGCCTAGCTAGCAGTCTATCTATTTTGTTGATCTTTTTCAAAAAAAAAAAAAACAGCTCCTGGATTCGTTGATTTGTTGGAAGGATTTTTGTGTCTTTATCTCCTTCAATTCTGCCCCGATCTTAGTTATTTCTTGCCTTCTCCTAGCTTTTGGATTAGTTTGCTCTTGCTTCTCTAGTTATTTTAATTGTGATGTTAGGGTATCGATCTGAGATCTTTCTAGCTTTCTGATGTGGGCATTTAGTACTATAAATTTCCCTCTTAACACTGCTTTAGGTGTGTCCCAGAGATTCTCGTATGCTGTCTGTTTATTCTATTGGTTTCAAAGAACTTCTTGATTTCTGCCTTAATTTCATTATTTACCCAGGAGTCACTCAGGAGCAGGTTGTTCCATTTCCATGTAATTGTGTGGTTTTGAGTGAGTTAGTTAATCCTGAGTTCTAATTTGATGGCACTGTGGTCTGAGAGACTATTTGTTAATGATTTCAGTTCCTTTGCATTTGCTGAGGAGTGTTTTACTTCCAATTATGTGATCAATTTTAGAGCAAGTGTCATGTGGCACTGAGAAGAATGTATACTCTGTTGATTTGGGGTGAAGAGTTCTGTAGATGTCTATTAGGTCCACTTGATCCAGAGCTGAGTTCAAGTCCTGAATATCCTTGTTAATTTTCTATCTCATTGATCTGTCTAATATTGACTGGGGTGTTAAAGTCTCCCACTATTATTGTGTGAGAGTCTAAGTTTCTTTGTAGGTCTCTAAGAACTTGTTTTATAAATCTGGGTGCTCTTTGATTAGGTGCATTTATATTTAGGATAGATAGCTCTTCTTTTTGAATTGATCCCTTTACCATTATGTAATGCACTTCTTTGCCTTTTTTGATCTTTGTTGGTTTAAAGCCTGTTTTTTCAGAGACTGGGCCAGAGATAATTTTTAAAATCAGAAATAAAAATGTTTTAATGCTCCTAAAAGGGCTGGGACCTTCTGCCTGGGTAATTTCTAGTCCTAAATTGGCCCTCTTTCCGGGTCATTCAGATCCTGGCTTATGTACTCCTCAGTCCCCTCTAGCTGTGCTCTCTTTCCAGCCTCTCCTGAAACACATTCCAGCCCAAGATCTCACAAGCATTTTAATTCATCGATTTGGGTGAAAGCAAAGGACATGTATATTCAGCGTGCCTGTCTCCAGCACTCCACAGGAGACAGCAGTGCCCCTAGTTACATTCATGCCATGGGCATTAATCAGCCTATACATAAACACTGCAGCCATGTTTTTCTTTTTCTTTTTCTTTTAATGAATAACTGGGGGCCAATGAGTGCATTTATCACAGTGCTTTTTAAATTGCTTGATTTTTTTAAATTCTTTTGTATGCTTCTCAGTGGGGAAAATATCTTGGTTAAGCTAAAATGTACATGCAGCAGATCGGTAAGAGTAGGTGAGCATTGCTTCTAAAGAAAAGAGCAAAATTGGGTGCCATGGAATTCTGATACAACAATAAGGTAGATTGTGCTTACAGATTTCATTTTTCAAAGAGTTGATCATTAAGGACAAATTTAGATGACTTAATGAGAACATTGAAATGACACATTATCATCTTAATTCAAATTTCCCCCAAAAGAAGGAAAGTTGTTTTTTATTTTTTTAATTTTAATATGCTTCATCTATGTCACTTCAAAAAGATTCTAAACTCCATGAAGGCAGCACCATGGACAGCTTCTGTGCCCCTACAAATTTATAGTGACCCTCTTTGGCACATAACAAATAGTTATTAGATTAAGTTGAGCTTATTTGAATTGAGTTTTCAAGGTATTTTTCTACCTAGGAGAATCTTAAAAACATATCTTTTTGTAAATTTTTTAAATTTTACTTTAAGTTCCAAGACACATGTGCAGAATGTGCAGGTTTGTTATGTAGGTATACATGTGCCATGGTGGTTTGCTGCACCTGTCAACCTGTCATCTAGGTTTTAAGCTCCACATGCATTACGTATTTGTCCTAATGCTCTCCCTCCCCTTCCCTCTCACTCCCCAACAGGCTCCGGTGTGTGTTGTTCTCCTCCCTGTGTCCATGTGTTCTCCCTGAATATCATATCATTTTTTTAAAATGAGTTTCTCTTCTTGCTTTCTCTAAAACACTTTGAAAATCACTATCTTCTAGGTTAAAGTCAGTGGCATTCAGCAAAGCCATTTCTGATTTTATGTCTCTTTTTCTCAAGAAGCAAATTGCAAGTGTATGTATAATCATATTGAGTCACACTTAATAATTATATTCTAGGGGAAGGTAAACATTCAGGATTCTCCTTACTGAAAACAGCAGTAAGATCATTTTTAATCCAATGCCATCCAGACATAGCAGATAATGGCTAGCTCCCTGTGTCAAGAGACTTCACTCTTCATAAAGTCAATACTTAGACAAAAATCAGAATTGTTCCCTTCTTCCAAACCTACTCTGAATCTCTCTCACATCCCAAGGGAGAAATGGTTCCTCACCTGAAGCTAGCTGGTGTGCCTTTGGTGTACCATAATGCCTTGTAGAAGTTAAAGCAAATTCTCTGTTCCCTTCTGGACAACACTTTATTTTTTCTTGACCATCCCAATGTTTGTAATCAGAGGGGACATCATAAATGCTAAATCTGTTAAATATTAATTGGCTAGAATTCTGAACATTTAGGTCCTGTCAAACAAAAAGGGGAAATTATCTGAGTAGTTTATAAATATTGTCATTTGGCTGTTCCAGTTTGCTCTTACCACAAAATAAATTATCCTCAAATTTAGCAGGTTAAAATAATAATCGTACTATTATAAATCATGGTACTGTGTGCATTAGTCCATTCTTGTGCTTCTGTAAAGAACTGCTTGAGACTGGGTAATTTATAAAGGAAAGAGGTTTAATTGACTCACAGTTCTGCATGGCTGGGGAAATGCAGAATCATTTCCCCAGGAAACTTACAATCATGGCAGAAGGGGAAGCAAACATGTCCTTCTTCACATGGCAACGTAAGGAGAAGTATGAGCAAAGGGGAGGAAAAGCCCCTTATAAAACCATCAGATCTCATGAGAACTCACTCACTGTCATGAGAACAGCATGAGAACAGGATAACTGCCCCCATGATTCAATTATCTCCCACTAGGTCTCTCCCACAACACATGGAGTTTATGGGAACTACAGTTCAAATGAGATTTGGGTGGGGACACAGCCAAACCATATCACTGTGGACCAGAAATTCAGGCAAGGCTCAACTAGTCGATTCTTCTGCTCCATGTGGTGCTGACTGGGTTCACCAAGTGGTAATCAGCTGGCAGATGGTCTGGTCTGGAAGGTTCAAGATGGCTTTGCTTATATGTCTGGCACCTTGGCAAGGGTGGATGGAGATCTAGGCTCAACTGGGACTGTCATCTGGAATCCCTACACATGCCCTCTCCAACACTGTGATCTCAGAGTAGATTCTTGTAAGAGACAGAAAGTGGTCTCTTAAATACTAGCTCTGGAAACTGGCAGAATGTCACTTCAACCATATGCTGTTAGTCATAAGAGTCACTGAGCCAATCCAGATTCAGAGGACAGGACATAAACCCCACCTCTCCGTGAAAAGAGTGTCGAAGATATTGCAGTCATCTTTAATTGGCAAAGATGCACATCATAAGAAAATAATGCAGCTTTGTATCTCTCACTAATGAACTCATCCATCAAAAGGCAGCTATTATCAAAAGATTAATTTAACATAAAAAAGATCACCAGCTTTGCATCTTAAAGTCATCCATGTGTCTTTTACTCCCTTATTCCTCATAGCAATTGCTGTCAATACTTCCACCAAAATATCTTACAAATTGGTCCTTTCCTTTCCCCTTACAGTACCTGGAGGTGGTGACTTATAAAAGCTAAGCTTTGTTATGAGCTAATTTTGTGCTAGACATTGTACTAAACAACTTTACAAGCACGATTTCATTTCATTGTGCCTACCACCACTGAGGTATATACTGTCATAATCTCCATTGCATAGATTAAGAAAATAGGACTTTGTGAACTACATGACTTATACATTAACTCCCAGCCATTTAGTGGAGGAGTTTAGATTGAAACCTGGGCACCTGACTCCACAGTCTTCATTCCTAACCAGAAACTCCATGCTTACACAAGTAGAGGGCCTTGGCCCAGAGGCGTGGCTTTACCTGCATCCTGGCTCCTTGCCTTTGGTTGGGCACCTGTGGTGGAGCAGCTACATGCCCCCCACCAACCCTGTACTAACACAGAGTCAGTGTCTCTCTGTGTGCCTCCACACCTCATGCAGAGGTATCAGTTATTTCTAATATATCTAAATTTTATTTTCCAAACAAAAATTACATACTGCTTTAGGGAGGCAACAGTCTTCTTTAAGGAGAAACAAAACGAGCAACACAGGAGAGGTAAGCAGAAAGGATCTGCTGATCATTAGCTGACATACTGTAACTGTCCTGGTTTAATTGGCAAGAGAAAACAGCTCCAAGAGCAGAGTTAAAAATAATGTTCCCAATATTTCAAAATATAAGTGGCAGAGAGATAATTAAGACAGCCCAGGATGGCAGCCTCTGGAGTAAGTTATGCTATGTTGTGACTTCACTGGTTTCAGAGAAACTTACCAACTACTGCCTTGATGTCGCAAAGTTATTTTGTGTTTTCTTCACTTTGAGCTGAGAGAGAGGCTGAGGTGTCATGTCCTAAGGCATGGCTTTCCTTAGCCCCAAGGTGGGAAGGAAGTTCTCCTAAAACCCAGGGAGCTTGACTGATGACAGGCTTGCCCGGCAGGTGGGAACAAAACCAGTCAAGAATAGATGCACGTGGCTGCTCAGTGGGCCATGCAGACCCTCTGTCCGCCTGGGGCCTGGGGTCAAAGAAGAGCCACCATTCACTATGAGGCCTTTTCCAAGTCCCAGGGCCGACAGTTCTGACCTTCCACTGCTTTGTCACCTCATCATGTTTGAACTTGGCCTCTACAGGCAGTAGCTATGAACCTGACCTTTTACAGTGGCCTCAAAAAATATTGGAGGAGTTTTCTGAAAAGCTGCTTTTCCTTTCATGTCATGAATATTTAGAACAAAATGGGGAACTGGGGATGGGGGTTATTATATCATATGAATACATGTATGTTTTTTTTTTAATTTTTTTCTACTTTTAGACATCATGTTATTTGTGTAGATTTCTCTGGCCTTCTATCAGGTAGCTTTTTTTCAAACAATTTTGTCATCAGAAAAATATAAGCCCCAAAACACACTATTTATGTCCTTTGTCAGTCTTCTTCCTATTCTTCACAAAAACCTATGTATCATTATAATCAGTGCATCCATGTTATTTTATCTAGATGTTTCACACACAATTTTATCTGAGCTTTTCTAAGAATTTGAATAATTTGTGTGTTTTTTAGTAAAAGGAATACAGCGTTTCAATGTATTTGCATACATTCACACTATTTAATGATTTATCAACAGGTATTTTGATTAATAAGAACTACTGAAATCAATCAGTATAATAGTCATTAGTGTTTTTATTGTGGATAATAAAAAAAAAAAAACACATAACATGAAATCTACCCTCAGCAAATTTTTAAGTTTGCAAAAGATCTCACTAAGGATGATCCTGAAGTTTTGAGCCAGTGTATACTGGCTTTGGAGTCCTCAAAGGAGAATCTAATTTTATTTCATATTTTTATTTATATTGTGTTTTTAAAAAATTAGTAATGGCATAAACCAGATAAGAAACAACATAAAGCAGCATATTCTGACTGGTGATCTACATTAAAAGAAAAATAAATAGGTGCCTACTTATATCAAAAATGTATTATCTTGGTTTATATAACAAGGCAAATGAATTGAGATAACGAATAGAAATACAGGAACCGGTAGTTTGGGCAAATGGAGCCGTTTAGTTTTATGTTTAATAGTGCTGGGTCATCAGTAGGATTGCCTTTTCCCAAGGCCAAGAAGGCACCTGCTTAGGAGAGGGTTAACTTGAGCATTTTATTGTGGTTGGGGGAGATGAGTTTGAAGGCTTCAGAACCTACAAGCCTAGTACCATGGTCAGAGTTCAACGTGGAACAGAAACATTGAAATCACCAAAGGGAAACTTCCTCACTTTATGGTACAAATCAAACAGCTTCTCACCTTACCTATAGAAGATAAGTTCTACTAGAGGAGAGAGTGTTTTAATTTCAACAAGAAGAGAACCTGCTAAGAGATGATTTCAACCCCATAACTTTAAACTGTGACTCTATGTTAAGTCCTTATGATCCAACCTTAAAACGTGTCCTTTTTCCCCCAGGCCACAGTAGCTTTCAGACTTTGAATATAGCTGATGTCTTCAACAGAAAACTAAATCTTTCCAAGCAATACTGAGTTCATTTCAGTTCAGTGTAATTTCGTCAACTTTTTTGAGAGCTTATAATGTGATGGGTACCATAATAGGCCTTGAATATACAGAACCAAATCAGAGAAGCTCCCCTGTCCCCCAAAAGATGTTAAAGTGCAAATGCTGAAAGGAATGCTGAGTAGTGTGATCACATCCAGACAGATCTGTACATCTTGAGAGATCCAGAAATGCTTCACACAGGTAGATATGCTTCAACTGGGTCTTGACTTTTGTGCATCCAAATTCACAAATCAGCACTTCTTCCCTCATATTCTCAGTTTTCCCCAGACTCCAGAAGAAGATGGGTGAGACTTCCTTTTCTAAATGCAGCTGATCCCTGACCTAATACTGTTTTTACTTCATGTGGAATCATTAGATATATTTAACATTCTGCATTTGGACTAATTTTCTTATTTTCAGCCCTGGTTCTAGACATATAAAATAATTTTGAATCTTCAAACAAAATACAATCGTCCTAAGATTCAGTCATCTATTTCATTTTGGACTATATGAAAGCAAATTTAAAAACGTGAATGCACCATTATTTTTCATCCAGTTGTTTTAACAATGTTTAAACACAGGTTGGGAACCTGGAGCTCCCAGTTTGCAAATAAATCATGTTCCTGTATTTTAACAGATGCAATGCTCTTGGTGGCAGAGCGACTGGAGGGGCCATTCAACATTGAGTCGGTCATGGACCCGATAGATGTCAAGATTTCTGAAGCCATTATGAACATGCAAGAAAACAGCATGCAGGTGTCTGCAAAGGTATTTGCATTAGTAATGTATCTGCCAATACATGTATGTTATACAGGTGCAATAACCTAAAAACGAAGTAACTAGATATGTCGGCTGGGCTTATAAATTCTAATATGCTGTCAGCGAGCTTTTCCTGTTGAGCCACAAATTTGCTACTTCATTAAAAATGTCTAACAAAATGGCATTGAGAAGGAAAGCAATTTTTTAGCTTGCAACTACTCAATCACGAAGAAATTATGGGCTGCCAAAAGGTTTCAGAGAGCCCCAAGTATGTTGACTAATCCCTCACATTTGTGAGCAATTTGGGGGGAATTTTCTTTTTAATGTTTGAAATGTCTGCACACCCTCGCCCTGTTCTCTGTCTAGCAACTTCTAATTATATCTTCAGCTGTGCAGACCAGGCACATGTTCTATATTTTCCATTGTAAATAATTAAACATCCCATCTGACTTCCTTTTAAGACTATGGTGTAACTTTCATTAACAAATCTTCAGGAGAAAATGCTCCTTTGTATGAAGTCAAGCACACATGAAAAGAAAAAAAGTAGCACATTTTCATAAATCATATGAGACAGAGCTCCTGGGTTTGCAGCTGTACAACACAAATGCCAGGTGCACAATTTTTATTTGTCTCCACCCAGTTGAAGATAAACAGGACCCGCCTTAAGCAAAATTGAGAAGTTTGCAGTGGGTCTCCCGCCTCTTCCTTCATCAATCTTTCTCTCCCATAGTGATGACTGCACAATGCCCTTCTGTTCTCTTGACTAGTATCCCTTTCATGAAACACTAACCAAATCTATATCAGTCCTTTAAACCCAGTGACCGAGTGATTGCATTTTAATTGAAAGTCATTTACACTAAAATATGTCAGGCAAAGAGTTGCATGATTAGCTTTCTTTAATTTTTAAAATCCTTTGTGAAAGAGATTTCAAATGTAATCACAGAGGAGGGGACAGGTAGTAGGAAGACATTGCAGAGCAAGAAAAAGGAGCCATGGATTCCTACTAGGTCTCCTTGGCTAAGCATGATTCAAACTAGGTTTGGGCTTTTCAGGGTGAACTGGTAGGATGAAGGAGAAGAAAGAATCTGGCCTGGGTCCCTTTTTCTCCATGGGAGATGGATGAGCTAGAGTTTCATAAGCCTTTTTGGGGGTTTTAATGAGCTCAGTGTAGCCTGTGTAAAGGAGGATGCTCCAAATTACCATCACCTGTTGGGGAAATAGCACATTTGGGGTTTCCATGAAAGGCCATTTTCTTTCTTTCCTGTGGAAAAAATAGCAATCATCCATTCCTCTCAAATCTATGCCTAGAAACCAATTAATGTTATTTTGAAAGGCACGGTATCCCGTTGGTGCTCAAGTAATCAGGTGCTAAGATTGCTAATGTTAAAAACAGCTCTAGAGACTAGGACAGGAGGAACACATGGACAAAATTATCTGCAGTTTGAGACCATCACAACTTCTTAGAAGTAGGTGTCTGTTTCCATTGGTGCGTGTGCATACATTTTCCAAGTCAAGTATTCTTTTCTACCCTTTTCATTCCATTCATTCATTCATTCATCAAATATTTTTTGGGAATCCATGTGGAAGACATGGCTTTGTACTGGGGACAGGAGTGAATAAGGCACCATTCCAGCCCTCAGTAAGCTTACTTTCTAAAAGGAGAGACAAGACACTGAACAGATCAGCAATTATATAAATTAATTAACATAACATAGCACCAGACAATAATAAGTAATAGGAAGAAGCTTCTCCTCCCCCAGGGCCTGGACATATTTGAACAGGAAGTTTCTATCACTTATTATATATTTTTTTCAAGGAACCTCAGTTTCTCTAAAAGCAACAGCTTCCTCACTGGTCTCCTGGCTTCCACTCTGGAACCCCCTCCAATTTATTCTTCATCCAGTAGCCAAAGTATTTCTACAACATCAATACGGTCATGCACCACACCCACCTCCCTCCATGTCCCCAGTCTCCCACTTTGCCTTTCAGTGGCTTCTTTTGTACTTAGAATGGAATAAAACTCCTGCAAGCTCTTGCATTATCTGGCCCCTGCCTACCTTCTAACCTTGTTTAATACCACTGGTCCTTTTGTTTACTTGTTCAGCAACATGGTCTCTCTCTCTCTCAGCTCCTTGAGTATACTTGTAGCTCCTCTCTTCTGTAATGTTTTTCACTCTTCTTACCTTTCAGTATGTCCATCTTGCAATTCTCTATCACAGAAATCTGTCACAGCATCTATTATATATATTTGTTATATATATATAACAAATATATATATAATATATATAATAAATATATATATATTTGTTATATATATAATAAATATATATATTTGTTATATATAATAAATATATATATTTGTTATATATAACAAATATATATAATAAATATATATATTTGTTATATATATAACTAATATATATAACAAATATATATATATTTGTTATATATATAACAAATATAGATAGATAGATAGATAGATATATAGATAGATAGATAGATAATATATATATGTATTTGTTTGGTGTTTGTTCCCTACAAGTCTTCTCCTGACTTCACTCACTAAAACTCCATGAGTGACTGGGATCCCAGCTGTGTAGCTAGAACACAGCCCAGCACTTGGCACATAGAAATTGTAGGCAGATGCTTGTTGAATACATAATGAAGAAAAAAAGGAAATGCACCAGTGAGTGAGCTGCAAACAACTGTTAAGAAATGGACCCATTTCAAGCAAAGAAACCATGCCTTCTCAAGTCCGACAGAGCTTAAAGGTAAAAAGAAAAAGAAAAAAAGAAACCACTTCTGTAATAGTTACACTGTTTGTCCTCAACCAGTTTGTCTTGAGTCTGCTGCATGGCTGGTCATTTCACTCCTGCACCCTGCTTTCTTAGTGGAGTTACATTTCTTCACTTAAAACTAAAAGAGCTCCTTTTTTAGGAGAGTTGGCCTGTTCACACAGGGAGATGACTGGGAGGCCAGCTTCAAGTTTAAAAAATGTTATTTCTGAGAGCATAGTCTACATACATGGAATCCAATGTCTGAAATCACTCCCACAAAGTTTTGTAGTGTAACAAGTCAGGGTAACTAATGTCACTCACCGCCATACAAATCCATGGAATTTGTGGCACAGTGTGGAGGTTAGACAGTTAGATGTTCCTCCTTTACATTGCTACTGGTTCCCTATGTCCATCCAAACCTAGAAAAATAAATAAATCTTTAATAAAAGGAACACAGGACCAGATATCAGGGGACCTGGATTTTAGGTATGTCTAGTTTACTCACTGATATCACAAAGACAGATTTTAAGTTCTTAATATATACTAAGTGTTGAAATATCCCTTAGTGCTCCATCCTCATCTATAAAATAGCTAGATACAAAGAAGAAATAATACGGTTTTATGGAATATCTTTGCAAATTAAAATGGCAGTTCTCAAGTTGGGGTTCATGGTGTTCTAGGGGCCCCCATGACCACTTTGAGTTGTCTGAGAAATCAAAACTATTCCTTATGATAAAACAAACAGGATTTGCCTTTCCCCACTATGTTGATGTTTGTATTGATGGCACAAAAACAATGCTAGCAGTTTAGTATGAATCAAGTCAGTGGCATAAAAACAGTTTTATTTAAGAGATATTTAATGAAGTAATAAAAATCATTAATTTAAAAGAAGAGGCAAGGTGTGGTGGCTCTCACCTGTAACCCAGCATTTTGGGAGGCCGAGGCAGGAGGATCACTTGAGTCCATGAGTTCAAAAGCAGCCTAGACAACACAGACAGACTCCCATCTCTATAAAAAATAAAAATTAGCCCAGCGTGGTGGTATGAGCCTGTAGTCCCAGCTTCTTGGGAGACGGAGGTAGAAGGTTCACTTGAGTCAGAGAGGTCGAGGCTACAGTGAGCTATGATTATGCCATTGCACTCCAACCTGGGCGACAGGATGAGACTCTGGCTCTAGAAAGGTAAAAAAAAAAAAAAAAAAAAGAAAAAGAAAAAAAGAAATTGGCCCAGTGCAAAGAATCTGCTAACTAAATGATTATCTTCTTTAAATTTATTTTTAATTGTCAAATAAAATTGTATATACATGTGATGTTACAAGATTGTTTTGAAATATGTATACATTGTGAAATGGTTAAATCAAGCTAATTAACAAATGCATTGCACCTCACATATTTATCATTTTTTGTGGTGAGAACACTTAAAATCTACTCTCTCAGCAATTTTCAAGTATAAAATACCTTGTTATTAACTATAGTTTAGGTCAAGTATTAAAAATTCTTCAAGAGATCAGATGGGCTATTTATTACTAGAATGCAAATTAGACATTTTTGTGGAATTTTTCCAACTACATTATTATAGTATTGCTGTTAATAAAGAATGTACTTTAATATGATACATATCTTTGTAAGAAATGTTAAAATCAAGAGTAGAAATAATATAGGGAGACCGGGCATGGTGGTTCACACCTATAATCCCTGCACTTTGGGAGGCCCAGGTGGGCAGATCACCGGAGGTCAGGAGTTCGAGACCAGCCTAGCCAATATGGCGAAACCCCGTCTCTACTAAAACTACAAAAATTAGCTAAGCATGGTGGTGCATGCCTGTTAATCCCAGCTACTCAGGAGGCTGAGGCAGGAGAATCTCTTGAACCTAGGAAGCAAAGGTTGCAGTGAGCCAAGATTGCACCACTCCACTCTAGCCTGGGCGAGAGAGCAAGACTCCATCTCAAAACAAAAAAGAAAAGAAAGAAAAAAAAAAGGGATAATATAGGGCATGTAAGAGTCCACTCACATGAGAGGACACAGGACCAAGGGTCAAAAAAATGACAGAAACAAAATAGTGTGTCTGGTACGGCTGGTACAGAGAAAAGAGGACGCAAGGAATTAAGGAAGAGGAGAGAACAGCCAAACTTTTCAGGAAAGAGGGAAAGGAAGCCAGGAGCCTAATGTGGAAGACGGAGTTAAGGAAGAACTAAAGCCAGCTTTAAATATCATGGAGAGGTAAAGTGGTTGGAATTTAGACAAATTCCATGGGAAACACCAACAGGATTTGCTGGTGGAACAGATGTATTCTGAAAAGAGATTTTATTTCATCAAGGGAATGGAATTTTCTTTTAAATTTAGAAATCTGTAGTTTCATTTTCCATATAAGCCACATCCATGAAATTATAATACACATGAACTAGAGTCTAAAATCTATATTCTAGCTAAGAACTGGGTGATTGAATTTATCTTTTTTTTTTTTTTTTCAAAGAAACCCTGGGACACTCTTGATAAACAGTCTCATCACATTTGAAGTTCTGGATTTCCAGACTGAGGCTGAGAAATTACATAACCAGAAATATGGTTAACTTCTGAGAGGCAAGCTCCAGGTGAGGCCAGAAGCTAACTCCTAATTAGGGCCAGATATCCTGAGAGTTGTAAAGTTTAGAAATTAAAATAACTTTTTCCTCTAGGATATGATTGGCAACTTCTCCTTTGGAAATCATTTATTTTATTAAAGCAGTTACTATTAGAAGTCATTCCCAGAGCCTCTTTCAGAAAAGCAACAATATTTATAACTGCCAACTCGTATTTATTGAGTGCTTACTGCCAGGGACAATACTAAGTGTTTTACATGGTTTCTATTGTGTAATATTTATAATAGTGCTTGTGATGAGATAGAGCTCCCTATTTCGCAAAGACAGAAAAGTTATTTTCCAAGATAGAGAAGTTAGGTGACTTACCAAGGTCTCACGGTGCAAAGGGTAGAAGAGCATCTGATTCCAAAGCCCATCTCGCTAATCGATGCATAACCCTAACCCTAACCCTAATGATGTCAGTGCCCACTGAGTCAATCTCACACAAGGGCAAGGTTCAGTAAATATTTGCTGAATAGATTAAGTATTAGGAGAAAGTTCAACAGCCTTCAGCAAAACCTGCAATGAGAAGGTAAGGAAAAGGTAGCAAAGCCAGGACGACCCAAGCTCCCTCCTGCCTGATTCCCTTTACAACTATGCCTAGTACTTCCATATGATAAATTCTAATTAAATATTTCTCTTATCCAGCCCTGTCATTCATTGCTTCCAACCTCTCCTAGAGTTTTGATAGTACACAATATAAAATTCTTCTTTCTCTCTTATGTATCTCTTATGTATCTTTTTTCTCTCTTATGTATCTCTTATGTATCTCTCTTATGTATATGAAGGCCAAAGGTGAACACAACACAGTTTCAGATGGGATATCTCTTTCCCCAAACTCTCACATCATATCTAGGAGAAGGAATAGCTAATCTTTTCCTGCCTAATAATTGAGATCATGAATAAGTGGGACTTAGAGACTAAAGAAAAGATTTATTCTCACCAAGTATGTTCATGCTTCAGTCTTGTCTCAGATCTGTTTTTATAGGGACTGTCAGATCCATTTTCTCTCCTATTTGGCCCACAAGGAAGCTATTAGGGATGAGGCGCATTGAGATTATTTCCAAAAAATATATTGGCTATGCCTAGTTGTATAACCAAGTTAGAATATTTTGGTAATAACATGACGCTCATTTCAAACTGCATTTGTATACTTTTTGTACAATATTATATGTATGTATACATTTTTAAAGACCAGGGGCAAGAGCATATTAAAACTTTCCCAATTTCCTTTTGAGGAAAGAATCTCCCAGTAACAGTGACAACCATGGTTACCCTTGGTTGAACACCTGCTGTATCCTTTCAACAAATACTCTACCAAGTACCAGGCACAAGGAATACAATACAGAATGCTTTGATTTGGCTCTGTGTCCCCACCCAAATGTCATCTCTGAATTGTAATCCCCATAATCCCCACATGTCAAGGGAGGGAACTGGTAGGAGGTGATTGGATTACGGGGGCAGTTTTCCCCATGCTGTTCTCGTAATAGTGAGTGAGTTTTCACAAGATCCAATGGTTACATAAGTGTTTGACAGTTCCTCCTTCACACACTCTCTCTCACCCACCACCATATAAGACACGCCTGCTTCTCCTGCCATGATTTTAAGTTTCCTGAGGCCTCCCCAGCCATGGGGAACTGTGAGTCAATTAAACCTCTTTTCTTTGTAAATTACCCAGTCTTGGGCAGTTCTTGATAGCAATATGAAAATGGACTAATACAGAGGACAAGACAGAGTCCTTGCTCTGGTGACATCTTGGTCTTTCTAGATGCCTTATGTATTTATTTCAAATCCTCACAGCACTCTTGTAAAGAACATTCATTTCCTTATTATACAGGTAAGAAATGTTAAGTCTAGAGAGATTAAGTAGCAAGCCTGAGGTCGTGTAACAAACAAGTGGTGTAACGGGGATTGCAGCCCAGGTCTGTCAGATTCAAAGACAAAGACTTTCCCAGCATGCCATGCTGTTTCCTCAGTAATTACCTTCCCACCAGCACCAGATAGACTTCAGCCTTTGAGGAGCCAGCCATTTAAGGGAGGACTGTTACCCACAGCGTACTATATATAGGGAACCTATTGATAAGAAATGTAGTTGTTAGTGCTTCAAGCCCCAACCAAGCTTACTACATTCACCAATTTCAATCCTCATCAAAGGCAGGGAAGAGCCTTCATTATTCCACTATCTTCCACAACCGCAGTTACCCAACAGTTCAGAACTTTGCAGATTTGTGGAAATTCCCCAAGGGAAGGGAGAAAAAACCTGAATCTCTGCCTTTGAATTTCAGATGTGTTGATAACCTTCTTCCTATCCTATCAGGGAAGATGAAACTGATCTCACTAGATATCATTTAACTATATTCGGAATAATTTCAAACCTAATATCTAGGAAAAGATTGGTTTGTCAGAGATAATCTAAATTAAGAAGGAAGACTTATTACATTCCAATTGAAACCATCCATTCAATTAATTCTTACTACCGACGAGGGTAGAACCCATTAAAGATGAGCAGGATGGCCTTCAGGTACTTAATTTTCTCTAGACAGTTTTTCCCAATCCACAGCTCAAATGAAGATTAAAAAAAAAAAAAAAAAAACCCTAAGAGAACAGAACAGAGAATGTAATAACTTCTGTCTCTAGCTATTGGGGCTTAGTTTCCTCATCTGTGAAAGGAGGGGTTAATCTAAATGTCCCCTACCAGCTCTAATAGTTTATAGTTTTATGAACATTATAGCCTTGATTATTACAGGTTTCTTTTTCCAGCATCCAGATCTTTTTTTTTTCTCCAGATCTTTTTCCTTTCAAAATGTTCGGGGAAAATAATATCTTGGAAATTCAGATGGAGAGAATATCTTCTTTCAGATATCAGGATTAGTTTAGAATTTAGTTCAAATAAATATATTTTTGTTCCAGTATCATTTATCTGTTTTTTCCTTTGAGCTCCTGTATTAGCATGTCCGTTGTAAGGCAGTGAGCATATTATTCCTTTTTTTACGGTTATTTTTGTGCTTACTTTCTCCTGCCCAGGATTATAAATTATTTGAGGACAAGAGTTACATCTTATTCATTCTAACATTCTGCAAAGAGTCTTCCTAACACATTGTTTTACACATGGAAGAAGCAGTACATTGTGCTGAGTTGAATTCAGAACATGAAAATATAATGCCAGAGAGACTTCCAGCGATAAGGAATAGAAAATACCTTAAAATGTACTTGAAGTTAGTCTAGTATTCTTTAGACTAGGATAGCAGTTACCAGGTCAGATTTTTGACATGAGACTGACATGGGATCTAGTTGTTCTATGTTGTGTGATTTGGGGCAAATTTTTTATCTGTCTAAATTAACTCACATTAAAAATGAGAATGACTATAGTACCTACTCATAAGGTTGTTTGAGAGCACAATGATATAATCCATGTAAAATGTTTACCATGGAGTAAGTCAAATCAAAACCACTCCCAAAGGCTAAGCATTTTAATTGCTATTATTAAAAATATCTATGGTACCTAAATTCTAAAGAGCACTGACTCATTGGTCTTGTCTCACCTATGATAGTCTGTGGGGTTGTTTTTAGCACCTAAGGTCGGAAGATCAGACTTGCAATCCACACCCCTTCATTAAACCCATGGATGTATGGTGTTATTTTTGATGGCAGGGAATCACTTAGAAAGGGAGATGGATCTCTAAATAAATGTCTATGAACAAGGCTTTTAGGAGAAAGCAGGCTCAAGGGAAGGGGTAGTGCAGGAGACTGTGTCAGCAATCCAACTCTAGTCTGTGCCTGTTGGCTACATCAACACCTCCATAGCAAAGAGCTTTAGAGGAATTTCCATGTAATAATAATTTCCACACTATTCTTACATTGAGAGAAAAATTGGCCTGCTTCATTGACAGGTTGTTTGGTCCCTTCTGCCTGATTTCTAAGAAAAAAGTGAATGGCCATACTATTTATAAAGCTTTACATTCTATTTCTACTTCTTTAGTTTTGTTTTTAAAGGAAAAGAGCATGTTCTCAATGATTTCTAAATTCACAGTATCTTCTCTATTCAAATTCTATTTGTATTCTGCCTATCAGTTCCCACTTACTGCGCTCCACCGAGAAACAGGGACCTTGAAACATCGTTTATTCTTTGATGACTTCATTACCTAGCACACATAAAATTGGGGTTTGTTCTATTCCTGCTTGTAATATTGCTGGATAACAGGGTCAGATTTTTCAGGTGCTAGGGCAGAGGGAAGAGGGAAGCACACCTTTTTTTAGAAAGTAAAATGAAGGTTTGAAAACATGCTTATGATGCATTTATGTGATACCCATCCAGCGCGAACTAGTTTTAACTTTCCTTGCATGTAAAAGGGATACAACAAAAGTGTTCTCCTTTTGATGATAAAGAAAAACTCCTTTTTCTCTAATCTTTAGAGATTTTTCTGAAGATTTGCTTTCACTTTAACTTCAGGGCCGTAAGATGAGAAGATTACATTTAATGTAGCCTACTCAAGAATAAATGATTGAAACACAATTCAGCTTTAACACTCAATGTGTATTCTTAGGAACAAGAGAAGGTGCTCTCCTGGTCTCCTGAAAAAAAGTCTCCTTCTGACTTCTTCCTACTTAAGAGAAGAGCACCTGCCATGGAACTGTGCTTCTCATGGGCAGTGAAGTATTGTGTTAGAGAAATTTCATGGCCTCTGCCCAGTCTCATAAATACACCTCCTTATCCCAGCTCTCAGCACTTCCCTTCTGTGTGGTGATATGCAATCTGGTTTGGTTCTGATCGAGTCATTGCCTCAGCCAGCCTACATGTAAACATGTGAAGGAGTCACATCTGTGGGGGAAACATGCTCATTTGTAGTGTTTGCCCATTTCTGTGGTGTAATTACTCCCTCGTGCATATTTCAAACTACCAACATAATGTCACTGAACACAGAGTAGAACACCCTGATGTAACATTTCCTCCTTATAGATACGACTGACACAATTAACCTTAAGAGCATAGATAACAGTAAAATAATTAGAAAGTAATGAGATTTTAGTATAATTATTAACTTTGTTATTAATATAATTCATATAACTGTAAGTTTATACAACTTAATTTTTAATAATCAATGCGTTTGTTAATAAACACATTAATAATGTGTTTATTATTATTAACAATGTGTTTGTTAAACGCAGTTGTTACTGGCTTATGAAATTCCTAAAAACTTAACATGTAGTTGCATGGCCCAGTAAGACCTGGGTCCAGCATACCACTGCTTTTCTAGGAAGATTTCTCAGATGCTCCAGCCTGGGTGAGTTGCCCCTGTGGGTGTTCCGTCACACTTCTTACATTCTATAATAATTGCCTGATTTCTTCTCCAAACCCTCTTGGGAGCAGGGACGTGTCCAATTGGCATATCCCCAGCACTTATGTTTGTGACACTCAACAAATATTTGTTGAATCGTAGGTGGAAGGAATGGTAGAGCCCGTCTGATGTAAATTACATGCTTACTTATATTCTGCAAAGTGATCTTACAGAACTGCTTTAAACCTTACAAGCAAAGGGCATATGAAATAATAATCATGTAGTCAGGCCAAGAGGATTAGGGCTTTTTTCCTCTCCACACTCAAAAATTTGCTTTGTAAAGTTCCTTGTAACTCCTCCTTCCTCACCATTTGGGAGGAAATATCAAGGTGTTTTGCTGCCTGAGAAATGCAAATCCTTCAGGGAAAAATATCTTCTCATGCAATGCAAATGAAAAGAATTTCTTTTATTGTAGAAAAGATTTTAAGAAGTATGCAATACATCCGACAGATATTCTGGAACCAAGCTGTGTGAGCATCAGGAGTAAATTTTTTAAACCTTAAAACTGACACAGTAGCTGGCTTTTTAAAATTGAGGCCAATGAAAAGTGGACAAAACTAAAACTGATGGCTTGCCTTGGTTCAGTAGAACCCAAAATTCTCCTAACAGAGTGCTGAACCCATCCAGGGACATAGAGTTTGCCAGAGAACTTGGCCTGAGGACCATTGTAATCAATCTTTAAGGAAAGAAACGCATGAATCAGGGAGCAAAGAAAAAAGAGAAAAACAAAATGAGAGGAAAGGGAAGACAAAAGATGACTAGAGAAGAGATTATTCTAAGATCTAAGGATGAATAACTGTTTTGTTAGAAGGCAACCCGTAAAAAATTACCACACTAATTAAAAAAAAAACTGACATTTAAAATGCCTTTGTAGTGAGTATAATAATTTTATATCTAAAGAAAAAGTCGTCATCAAGATGTTTTAAGTTTATATTCAGGAAACCACTTTTTATGCTATTAGATAAATGCTGTTAGAAATCCCCTAAAAGTGTGTGAAATGAATTTCTAAGGTGCCAGTTATCTTATGTAATAGTATAATGTAGCTCCTTTTGCTACTACTTTTAATGAAATTTTTTTAACATATTTCAACTAATTCTGATTTGCTTCCTAATGATACGTGAATGCTCCCAGGCACACACATTTCAGTCACCACTTCCACTTTGAGAAAGGCCCTAGCTCTGTGCTTAACCTAGACCATCATTGGCAGGGATAGGATACAACTGCTCCAATGTACAGGTGCCGCTGTTTATCATTTTGACAGATTGGTGATACCAGGAAGTAAAGAGCCCAAGTTGTCTGCCACTTTGCAGTAAGCAGTGGCCATTGCCTGAGCTCTGAGCCCAGCTGTCTCCAGCACCCACGGCTCTGATAGCTCTCCCACGGGCCAATCAGGAAGCCAATCTAACTATTTTGTGTGCAAGGTCCTCCTAACTGGCTTATCAAGCTCACTGAGTGGCTATTATCAACTGATCAGGAAACAGTATTTTGGGTCTCGTTATCACTTTAAACAAAGTTGTCCATTTGGCTTTGCTTTAATTTAGCCCAGTAAATGTAGTAAAGGAAATAGCAAATAATTTGTTTTACATGGATACATGATTCATTCCTTCAGTCTGAGGAAGAAATGTTCAACCTTGATTTTGAAGAGATAATTGATCATTTGAGATAATGCATATAAAACACATAGCACAGTGAAGTGTCTGTCCTATCATAGACACTTGATGAGTGTTCATTGTCTTTCCTTTCCTATCTTTTCTTTCTCATTACAGAAATCTACATGCTAATTGCCTTCAATAAATGTTTGCAAAAGGGGACGATTATGACTAAAAATTTTATTTCTTCATAATCTTTCATTCTCAATTTTTTCAAACACATATCATGTGCTGGTAACTCCTACAGATACTGGGATACAGTAATGAACAAAATGTATGAAAACCTATTCATCATAGAGCTTAAATTATTCATGGGTAATTCTGCGTAATCCTTAGATTTGATTTATTAACCATTATTATTCTATTTAATTACAGATTACTTACTTAAAATAAGGCACCATTATACCTCATGTTTTCAGTGTATTCTTCTATGCATCATATCATTCTATCTTCCCAACAGCTTTGAGAATTGGGGAGAACATTGTAACCCCAAGGTCACACAAGTATTAGGAGAAAGATTAATATTAACATTCCAAACTTATAGACTTGTGTTTCTGACCTTTTACAATGTTCTGAATGTATGTGTCTCTCCAAATTTCATATACTGAAATCCTAACACCTAAGGTGATGGTATTTGGAGATGGAGGCTGTGGGAGGTAATTAAGACATCTGGGTGAAGCCCTCATGGGCTGGATTAGTAGTGCCCCTGCAGAAGAGGCCTGCAGGAGCTTGTTAGTCCTTTTTGCCCTTCAGCCATATTCGGACACAGCAAGAAGGTGCCATCTATAAAGCAGAGGGCCCTCGCCAGATACCAAATCTGTTGGCACTTTGATCTTGGATTTCACAACCTCTATAACTGTAAGAAATAAATTTCTGTTGTTTATAAATTACCTAGTGTAAGGCATTTTGTTATAGCCACCAGAATGCACTGATAACACCTATTGGTTACTCCACAGCCATTTCTTGTGAAAATAATGGCTGCACCTGGACAAATATATGGTATCCACACTAATGAAGATACGATAGCTTCTATTTCCTTGAGTATAAATGGAATATATTTGAATTTCCCAAGTAGTAATCTAACAGTTCATTCATTGACACTGTAATATAAATTAGAATCTCATAGGTAAATAAAACATTACCCTTAAAACATCAAATCTAATTAAATCCAGGTAACATTAACTGTTACCTGGATTTAATATAAAAGATTAGAGCTCTGTTTGCAAATTTCAATATTTGCCTATATGAGAATAGCAGCACCTTTCCCCCATTATGGAAACCTGCTGAGTAGAAAGTGGGAAGACAGAATTTTTAAAAACCACAGGAGCCGAGACGGGATTTACCTGCAGCCACTGCTTTTCAGGTTACCAGTAGTGACTTTTTAAATGTATAATCAAGCTGCAAAAGACAATGAAGAAGATAAAGAAGATAAAGAGGTAAAGGTATAAAGCTACATGTGCCTCCAAAAGAGTGGGCACCTTAGTTTATTTTAAGAGAAATACGTTAAGATGCCCTAATATTTTTAAAGGAAAAATACTTGTATTTAGAAACCTAAGACACAGCACTTAAACCTGTTATCACCACACCTCCTCTTCCTTCCCATCCCTCCAGAATTATAAAATGTTTCTCCTTTCAGCCCTTCCTATCCTAATGTCAGCTTCTTTAATCTCAGAATGCCAACAGACTTCTGAGACATTATCTTAGTAATCCTCTTAAGAGAGAGGATTCATGAGCCAGATATCTTCCTAAAATCCACAGGTTTTGCAAGTCAGCTAGGTGGAAGGAGAATTGCTTTGTACATCTGTAGCATCTGTCTGCATTGAAGCTTCCAAATACTTTCCCGAATTATCTAATTATCACTTTCAACATCCCTTGGAGAGAAGCAGGCAGCGGTCAGGAGGTGGTAATACCGATTCTGTTTCTTAAAGGGGTAGAGCGAATGATTTGTACCACAATAAGTTGGCTTATCCTGCAGCGATAACCTCTAAAAACTTCTGTTCTGTTGTAAAAAGAAGCCCTTTAGTGTCTTAAAATAGCATTCTTCTCTGGAATTAAAAGCAGAGGAGGGTGGAACAGCTTCACAAATACCTCTAAGTAAATGCAGTTCTATCTGAATCACGTCTCTCCTTGGCAGGTTACAACCACCTTCACAGTATATCTCAGGGTGGGTTCTTTGGAACACCAGTCTTATGAGAACCCCATGAGGAAACCATGGTCAAATAGTTTTGGGAAACACTACTGATGTCATCCTCCCTGTCAATGAGTCTGACCACATGTTATCATGATGGAGCCCTTGTGAAGTTACCTAATTTAACTTTAATAGGTGGAATCTATGATTTATATAACAGCCATTTGCCCTTAAAATAATATTTTGTGGAAAACATTTAAGAGACATCCATTAGCAGGGTGTGGTTGGCATGCACCTGTGGTCCCAGCTACTCGGGAGGCTGAGGCAAGAGGATAGCCTGAGCCCAGGAGATTGAGGCTGCAGGGTGTTGTGTTTGTGCCATTGCACTCCAGTCTGGGCAACGGAGTGAGACCCCGTCTCTAAAATAAAATTAAAAGATTTTTAAAAGGTTAAAAAAAGAAAGAAAAGAACAAGAAACATCAGACCAGACATTTTTTCTTCAAATTTTCTTATCTAGAAAGCAAAACTTCTGGAAAATACAGATTATGGCATGATAAAATTAACTATCAGGTATGTACTTTTCTAGACACATGGTTCTGTTTTTCTGCCTTACATATTGTACTTTATCATCATAGTGTATCTGTGTGGTAAATAATATTGTTATTCCCATTTGACAGACGAGCAAACTGAGGCTCAGAGAGGACCCTGTAAATGTTGGCATGGCAATAGGCTGTCCTCAGCCTCATCCATCTGCCCACCTATATATACTTGTCCTTGGTAAATGCAATCAGTTTCAGGGCTTTAAGTACCATCTTTAAGCTGATGATCCCAATCTCCATCTCCAGCCATAACCAACTGATCTACTGACTCTCATTGAACCTATGGCCCTATCCATCACATTATTATTTCTCAATTGTTTTTTTCCCTTATTCAAAATGTAAAATGTTGGGATACCCAAGCCACTGAGGAAAAGGCTAACTGGTCTCTTATACTAACCTAGCCATGGCCTTCATGAGCCACAAAACTGTGCCTAACTATACTGCTGCTAGAGCAAACTCAGAAAATTGAGACGGTCCAAATTTTCTGCCCAAAAATTTCCTTTGTCACCCACCTCGTGACTCTCATATTTTAAAAATACTTTTTTCAGGATAACAGATTGCTTGCTTCTTAGTCTGCTCAGGCTGCTATAACACAATGCCATGAACTGGGTGGCTTATGAAAAACAGAAATTTATTTGTCACATTTCTGGAGGCTGGGAAGTCTAAGATCAAGGCTTTAGCAGATTTGATGTCTGGTGAGGACCTGCATGGTGTTTTATAGATGATGGCACCTTCCCACTGTGTCCTCACATGAGACAAGGGTGCTGTCCGGATCATTTGTTGTTGTTTTTTTAATAAGGGCACTAATCCTATTCTTGAGGGTAGAGCCTAATCACCTCCCAAAGGACCTACCTCCTAATTCCATCACATCTGTGATTAGATTTCAACTTATGAATTCTTGGAGGACACAAATATTCAGACACATGTATTAAACATCAAATTATTAATTTTTACTTTGTAAGTCATCTAAGTTATATGATGGATATATGTTAAGGTATATTCTCAGTATAAGACTAATACAAAAGTTTTTTTATCATTTCTAAGCAAAAACAACGGCAAAGTACTCCTTTGTAAACCATTCTCATTAGGTTTTGTAAAATTCTGAAAAATAGCTCTTGATCCCTAGGCTGGGAACTTCTGTAATGGAGGGGTCCTTGCGCCCAGAGCTCCCAAGATGGCCACGGGTGGCTTCCAAGATGGCGACAAGCCTCTTGATCTCTGACCTGGGGTTCTTGGCCTCACAGATTCCAAGGAATGGAATCTTGGGCCATGGGGTGAGTGTTACAGCTCTATTAGAAGCCGTGGGTCACGGAAGAGAACCGTGGAATCCAGCGACTAGTGCTTAGCTGAATTAGGACAAACCGAGGCACTTAGCCGTGCAGGAACAATGGCAAGCCTTTAGCCCCATCTGGAGCGGCAAGGGGCACCTCGCTGGATCAGGAGCACAGTGGACACCCGCGGGATCCGGAGGGGTGGGAGTCAGCAGTGGGTCTGCAACGGCAGCAAACAGCAGTGGTGGATGGTGAGCGAAAGCTCAGCTCCAGCCGTAACAAACACAGACCAGAAGAGTGTGCAGTTGCAAGATTTAATAGAGTGAAAACAGAGCTGCCATACAATGGGAGGGGACCCAAAGAGGGTAGCCCTTGCTGGCTGGAATGCCTGGGTTTATATCCCGATCATTGTCCCTCCCCCTGTGCTCTTAGGCGATAGATGATTGGCTATTTCTTTACCTCCTGTTTTGCCTAATTAGCATTTTAAGCTCTCTTTACTACCTGATCGGGTGTGAGCTAAGTTGCAAGCCTCGTGTTTAAAGGTGGATCCGGTCACCTTCCCAGCTAGGCTTCAGGATTCTTAATCGGCCTAGGAAATCCAGCTAGTCCTGTCTCTCACTTCCACACTAAAGGGTTTCTTTTATGGCACTTCTGTTTTTCTAAGGGTATGATAGGATCTCTGTTTAGGGGCTTTCAAGATGTGAGGTTGTTGTGACAGATTGTTATGTAGGTCTCCACCTGATTATGTGGCCAGGTGTTGTTTCCAAAGTAATTAGAAGTCAGTGTTTTCCTCAGTTTTGGTCACAGACCCAGTGATTTCTGCATGGAAGCTATCTTCAACATCCAAACCTGACCTAAATAACAGAAAGCTACTAGGCTATATTGACTAACCTATGTTCTGTAATAATTAACTCCCTCCAAAAAAAAAAAAAAAAAAAATTCCAGCAAACGTGAGGTTTTTCCATTATGATGAAATATCTCCCTAGAACACTAATATTCTTTCAGGGCATTCGTGTTTCTTTGATTTAACTTAACCCAGTGAGCCACATTTTTCCCAAAGGGTGAATTAAAAAGTCCATTAACTCTTTCAGTACATGGCTTCATGAAATCTCAGCAAGGCCGTTAGTATTGTTTCGCCTTAGGCTTTACATTTTTTAAAAGTCAGCTGTCACTTTCAAAGCAATCCAGAATAGCACACTCAACAGATCCCTGGAGCTTTGGAAATGTTAATGCCCTCCATCAGCAGCGACCTTGCCAGAGGGAAGTGATTTAGGCACTACGGAGAAAAGGGCCCACTATCTTTATCACATCGGTTTACACCATCAGCTTCAGAAATTGTGTGAGAGAAGAATAATCAATAGTGTGTTAAGACCAATCTCGAGGAATGCCAAGACAAAGTACCGCCGCTCTGCAAAATGCTGAGTTGAAGGAGAACTTTTGAATACAACAAAAGAAAAATTAGCTGTAGTGGTAAAACAAAATGAATTGTGTCTCAAGACGGAATTTGTCATTGTGAATGGCACTCAGGAGCTCTCTGCGTACTTCAGTGGAATCACATCATATGCGTGATGAAAAATGGTTGTTTTAGAGTTAGACAACACAGAATGAAATAACAAAACTGGAACGAATGCGTTGCAAGTATACTACATGCAAGTTAAGGATCAGCCCATGTAAATAACCCCAAAAAGTTTACTGAAGGAAAAATATCTAGAAAAATCATCTGCTATGGAGAAATGGAAGAAATAGAATAAAGTTAAACTTCATCAAAGTTTCCTGAAAATGTTACTGCATTTCCTGTAGTTCTAGTAAAGGTATTATCTCTCGATAACCAGCACAGAGTGTAAAGCTTCTAAAAACAGCAAAGGAAGTGTCTCCACACCACCCTGAGTGAAATCACTGTGGAAAAGAACTGGCAGCTCAGTCTCTAAGATCATTACAATACAATGTTTGATTTCCCATAGCAATCTTAATTGTGACATGAACAGCTGTCAACAACAAAATTAGAGGAAGCTGTTATTATATGGATTTCATCCACATTTGCTTGTCCTATTTCTATACCACTGCTCAAGAGAGTGTTTTTAAAGAATTCTTCCAGTAGAGATTTTCATTACTCAAAGGGGAGTTACTGAAATTATTTGGCTTTATGTGCTATACAATGAAATAATTTGTCATGATAACAGGAATCCCAAACGGATGTTTATAGAATGCCAAATTCAAGTATGTAAAAGTGAGATACAATTCATTTAATCCTGAAATCATCCTGTGGAGTAACTATTGCAATCCCTATTTTTAGTACAGTTGATTCTCTTTATTGTAGTTATGTTCTATAAAGTCACTGCAAACATTGACTTAGCAAATACTGAACCGTTGCAGCAATGAGAAATACAAGGTTAGGCTCCTGCAAGCCACTGGGCACAACAGTTTCATCAACCAATCAATATGTAGCCTTGTGTTATGTGTGTTTCTGTGAAAAGACACCTTATTTAATATATATTGTTGATTCATTAACATTGAACTCATAGCACTATAACTCAGGCTTGAAGTTTGTCTAACATACATATTTTTGCTATAAGACACATTACACATCTTGTGGTTAGGAAAGCTTGACAGTACTTCAGCCCGATGCTTGGGGACCATTTTAAACATTGAAATCAACAAGAAAAAGCACAAAAATGTGAAAAACATTGTACTACATAGACCACAAAGAGAACACTTGTTTACAGTCTGAGAGCTGAAATAAGGAGAGTGTCTTCTCCAACCTCAGCTGGGAACATGACTCAGATTTTTTGGCACTGTGTCTCTATGTCCATGAGAGTGCTGTGAGTATTAATTCTGGGGTTACAAATAAATTTTAATGAGTAAGCAAATTTGCAAATATGTATCTACCAATAATAAGATTGACTGTGTATGCTGAAACTATGAGTCAGGGATTATAGTTGGTCACTGTGTATCTGTCTGGGTAATTCTTTCTGTTATATTAGTGGTTATACTTGTTTACATTTCAAAATTAGAGTTTATTGGAGGTAAAAGTTTCATAAGAAATGTGGACACCATTGCATTGCACATTTCTGCTTCATGAATTTAGGAGAAAACTCATTGTATAGCTGTTTTTACTTTTCAATGGTTCTTCCAGGTCTTTCAGGGATGTGGTCAGCCCAAACCTGCTCCAGCCCTCAGATCTGCCCGCTCAGCTCCTGAAAATTTTAATACACGTTTCAGGCCCTACAATCCTGAGGAAAGACCAACAACTGCTGCAGGCACAAGCTTGGACCGGCTGGTGAGTATTCACAGATTGATAACCATGGCGGATGCTTTGTTTTACCAAGGTCATTCTTTGAAACTCCCAGGAGATTCTGGAAAAGTTTGTTATAAGAGTCATCTCATGCTTATATCTGCCTCTGTTCTTAATTAGAATATTGAAAAGTAATGGGATCTTTCTTTTGGGTCATGTATTGGATTATTTAAGAAATCTATTAATCCATTAAGAAACTATTAATGCATGTATGCAGTGACCACATTTTCAACTTCTTATTTCTCATGAAATATTAATTTGAAAACTAAGTTGCCAGTTCTTCCAGAGATATAATTGCAATAGCACATTTCTTACTCATCTGCTTCAGTTCTTTTCTGAAAATGGTTATGTATTCAATTATGATATAATGCAAGTTTATTATGACTTCTTATTTGCAAAGTTTTCTGTTTGAAAGACCTTGCCCGGAAACCCCAAATCAATGTTACTATCATTTTTTTTTCTTTTTTATGTGTCTTTAAAAAGTTGGAATCCTTAGAATTAGTCACTCTTTGAGCTGTTTAGATGTGTGTCAGGGGACTTAGTGATATCCATCATCAAAGCAGTTTATAATACTCGGAAAATACAACCATAAACATAGTAAATACAATTTTTAAATGTGTTTTAAAGACCAAATTTTGCCATTTAAAAAAGCTCATAATTTCAAAGAAATACTGCCTGATTATTTTTAATTCAATTTCTTCCATTTGTAGTACTGTAAACACTTTATATACCTACAATTGTTAGTGCTATTAATGTTGCTTTGCCAATTATCTTGATGTAAAATTAACAGATAAAATCCTTAATGTCATAAAGCACTTGAACCACATCTGACTGTGTCATATAAACTTAGATCTCAAAGACTGCCAGTTATGAAAATACTTTTATTAGTCACTGTTATAAATTGCTTTATGATTTTAGTTAATATCCTTCTATAGTGTAGAACTCATAAGATTATATTGGTTGAATTTGGCCTCAAAGTAAGTACATCTCAGCATTTCTGTCTATAAAAATCAAATGTGCTTACAACCTAAAGGCCTATCCATGAAGTATCAAAATAAAGGGGTAACTAACTGTTACATTTTGTTATAAATTTATTGCCATTTATTAGCAAATAAAACCTTCTCTCTAGTGTAGATATTTGTAGTTGCTGCAACCTTCTACTTTACCTGGCTTATATCTATTCTTTTTTTTTTCCCTTGAGACGGGGCTTCACTCTGCCCCAGGCTGGAGTGCAGTGTCATGATCATGGCTCACTGCAAACTTGACCTGCTGGGCTCAAGTGATCCTCCTACCTTAGCTTACTGAGTAGCTGAGACCACAGGCATACACCACCATGCCCAGCTTTTTATTTTTTTGTAGAGGCGTGGTTTTGCCATGTTGTCCAGGCTGGTCTCGAACTCTTGAGCTCAAGCAATCCACCTGCCTCGACCTCCCAAAGTGCTGGGATTACAGGCATGAGCCAACGTGCTCAGCGGCTTACATCTATTCTCTATTGCAGTTTCAGGAAAAGTTTAAAAATAGTCACCATTTTTCTTTTAAACAACCAATTAGATTCCACCAAATAACTAGTCAGCTGTTTTAAAGAAATGATGGTTTTCATTAGATTATATTGTTTAAATTTTACTTTACAAATTGCATTGTATATCAAGATCTTTCTAACCAGAGGACAAATGGTGAGTATGGGTTTGGTCCCTTTTTTCCCATTTTTGCTGGCTCTAACTTAGTTATTGGAACAATTCAGTCTTTTCTGAATTTTTGTAAAATCTAATTTAAGAACAGGAGTACAGTGTGAGATGAATAAGTTCTAAAGATCTGAGGTACTACATTGTGCCTGCAGCTAACAATAGTGTATTGTTCACTTAAAAAAAAACTGTTAAGAGGGTAGATGTCATGTTAAGTATCCTTACCACAATAAAATAAGAAGTTTTAAAAGAACTGGGTACATTTTGCACTTAGTTAAAATTGCACTGAATTTGAATAATATAATGATATGTATGGCAACTAATTAATTTTTTCCCTCTGAAACAGAGAAGCCGTTTTCCTTCATCCCCGGGAGAAATAAACACACACCCTTAAACAGGGGAAGTAGAGCAAGAAAAATATGTTTCTAAAGACAATGTTTTTGCAGCTTAGCATAAACTAAGTAAAGCATCAACACTTCGAGAATTTTCTCTGGTGTTTAAAATCTGATGGACATGAAAATTGAGATTTGAACCTTTTATAAAGGAACTTTATTGGTAATGTTCAAAATGCTCTAGCTATAAAGGTCTCGAGAGTATAGACAAGTAGCAAACAGAATGAAAATCTTCTACCTTTTGCACCCCTCAAAAATATATTTTATCCATCTTTTTCTGAAAATGATTGGTAATGGTTAAACGTATCATCACAAGTAAAAGCCAAGGACCAGACTCTGTGCCTAAGTATTTAAATCAATAAGCCAATTTTATTCTAAAACATTCTCAGACAGCATGTAGCATTTACTTCCTCAAAGGTGTGGCTTCAGGCTCTGTAAGTGAAAATTGCAGTTTTACTGATTTTTTTATTAAATTCTGATCCCTTCCCAAATGGTAAGAATTAGTGACGTGTAATGCACAGCCAGCCATAAGCCCACTTTGCTCAGCTCCTGAGAACAAGGCACTGTTTGCGCATCAAACGGAGCTATACCGAGGTTATTCCTGAGAGACACGAGTTAGGTCCAAAGCTAATAACAGAGTCTCAGCAGCCATTGGCTCTCCTGAGGCCTTCGTCCTTTGGGGTTCCAATATAGCTCTGAACACTGGAAAGTTGGGGGAGTTATCCTTGGCCAGACTCCAGTCCAACAGTCAAACACGCTCATCTTTAAGAAGGATGCACTGCGAAACTATCCAGATGGGCCTGTCATCCATTACAGCCTATTTAGGCTGTTTATAAACAAGTCTCATATTACCTACTCCTGTTTTAATTTTCCCTGGAAAAGATGTTTCCTGAATATTTATAAGAAGCATGTGTCTGAGAAAAGGAGGATAATTGGAAAAGATTTCTCTTCATTTCTTGAAGTGTTTCAGCAGAAAAATGCTTCCAAGGACGATATCAAAACACTACTCCAATCACCCCACCCCTTTTGCCAAAATGAAAATAACTATAAAGCACTTGGAGAGTTACTTCTTAGTGCCATTTAAATTAGTACCTGTGGTAATAACTTTGGGCCCTGTTGGTAAATGTTCTTATATCAGTTATTCTAAAGCTATTTTTTTAATGTGAACTGGTCGTTATGGGGTTTGTTTTAAAAATAAAACTACCAACCCCAAGCTGAGTAAACTGCTGCTATACCTTATATAAAATAATTGAAAACAAAACTCTCTCTTAAAAAATACACCAGTTCCATCATTTAACATCTTATTATATTTATAAGGAACTTATAAATTCTTTTGTATCTCTAGGGAACATTTCCATTTGCTCCTCTAAAGTTATATACACATAAGAAGCAGTTGAGGTAGTCAGAAGCTTTCAGACATACTACCCTAAAGTGGTTTGTGTTATCCAAGAATGAGTGAATGTATTTTTATAAATTTAGCTGCTCATGGAAAGCCAACTCATCTGAGTCTATCGCAGTCCCTACCGCCAACAGCCATGATTTGTTGAGGATACTAATGTTATCAACTGCAGTAATTCAGTTAACAGAGTCATCCTACCATCACGTTGCTTTCTTGTCACCAACAAACTCCCCTTAGAAGCCCCTCTGTCCTAGCTGACTATTAATGACTTTCAATCAAACAGGCCAGAGATTATTGTTTGTACTCAGGAAGAGACTGGTTATGTTCCTTTATTCTTAAATGTGTACTCTGCAAATTCTCTTACATAATTTGATGTGAAACTATAATTTTTTAAAAGACGGTTCCAATTCACTGGAAATGTCAAGTATAAAAATAAATCAGCACAAAATAGCTCGATTTTTAAGATCTGAGCATCAAAAGGTATTTCAAATTAGCCTCTGTAAAAGGCAATTAGTTGTACAGCTCAGAAAATTAGAGCACAACATGTTCTACAGCTCACAGACGCACTTGGACAGGGAGTGTCAGTTACTTTATTCCAGCTGATTCATTAGAGTAAAAATGGACTGTGCATGGTGTATCTTAGAGGAATATATTTTATAAAAGTAAATTTAAAAAAAAAGCCAGGTTTGGAAATTAACTCAACAAGTTGGTGATGACTTAGAGCCATAAATCTCCAGTAAGTATTCAACACTGTACTGTGGATGTGGATTTCTCAAATATCCTACTGGTCATTCTGAGGGAATTTGGGGTGGGGATGGGTGGAATGCCAACCAACAAAGCTCAACTTTGTGCCTGTTCTGTGCTATTATGTATAGAATAATCTCTTTTTCTTTTTCCTTTAAATTTGTTTTCCTCTTGCTTCCCAGAGGACTGTGTGGCGGACTATGCAGCATAGTGTAAGCATTGGTCTTATTCTTCCTCTCATTCCCATTTGTCTTTGTACAGTCATTCCGGAGAGTCCCTGAGAAATTCCTCCTCCACTATCCCTTTCCAAATTATCTGGAGTGGATTGAATACTGCACATAGCCAACTTGTTTAGTCATTTCCTCTCTGCTTGTGATTTATGGTTAACAACCATTTTCATATTCTTTTCCAATGGCCAAGTTTTCAATCTAATCTTGGTGGAAGACCAGCTCATCGAATGGCTGATTTAAATTCTGTCCCAATGTTCAGACGATGCGTAGTCCGCCTGGAAAACTAGCTCTTCCCTGTTAGAATATATTGGCCTTTTTCTTCTTGTGCTAATAAGAACAAACCAACATCAGCCCTCATGCATAAGGTGCTAATGTTTCCATTAGCTGAGACATAGAAAATTCAAGGGATTAAAAAATAGGTTGTTTGCTTTTCGTTTTCTACTTGAATTTCCTGATATCTTTCAGAGCATTCAGAGCATTTGGAGAGGGAACATTGGATATTTTTTACTTGAAAGATTACCCCCAATATGGGGCTGAGGACAAGAACACTCAGGCTATCTTACTTGACTATATCAACCAAAATAATCAGTTATCTAATCTGGTTTCCACAATACCATTGCATGCTAATAACACTTTTTTTTTTTTTTGAGATGGAATCTTACTTCTTCCACCTCCCAGGTTCAAGTGATTCACCTGCCTTGGCCTCCCGAGTAGCTGGGATTACAGGTGCACACCACCACACCCAGATAATTTTTGTATTCTTAGTAGAGACGGAGTTTCACCATGTTTTCCAGGCTGGTCTTGAACTTCTGGCATCAAGTGATCCATCCGTCTGGGCCTCCCAAAGTGCTGGGATTACAGGCGAGAGCCACTGTGTCCAGCCCTGATAACACTTCTTAAATACATGCACTCTACATGGTATCATGGACTGAGGAAGGAAGGTGACTCTCACCTGAGGGGCACATACTTATTTGTGCAGCACACCTGTGACATCATAGTGTTAACTGTTTGGCCTTAAATCCAGGCAGTGATAACACAATGTCTAAAATCCCTTCTTTGAAATCATGTTTTTAAAAAGAAATTGTCCCCTGAGTACTATCCCCATTCATTATTCCTGAGATCATATGCCCATATCCATATGCCCTGAGACCAGGGCAATTTGGGTGAAGAAAGTTAGGAGGTAAATCTGGAACAGGAACGCTGCAGAAAGGAAGACCTTGAGAAGGGGACAGGGAAGACAAATAGCTCAAGGGCTCCTGACACTAAGAGGGAAAGGGGAGGGGAAAACATCATGGGTGGGACAAGTCAGGGTTCTGTTCGATTGGTCCCATTGATAACTAAAGTGGCTTCAGTTAAGTCAGTAGTGTCTGCCCTTTCCAACACAATCTCTTGGGAGCTCCAGGTTTTCCTGCAGCTGGTCCAGTTCAGTTTCCTTATCTAATAGTTATCATGACCCTTGTAGCTTTCCTGAAGAGTTATCACTTCCTTGAACATACTGGAATGAATACATATCATAACATCCCTGTGTGTCTGCTGGACTTCCCTACTTGTCCCTATAACCTTATCTAGGCCAAAACAAACAAACAACACAAAAACCAGATGTCTGTTTTGTATATGAATCTTCCAAAAATACACTGTAACTTTTGAAATTCATCGGTAGGTCACTGGTGACAAACATGTTGTTAATATTATTACATACATATTTAAGTACTTACAAAAGATCATCAAGATATGCAACTTTTTTAATTGTTCTGAAACAAAATGGACAAAGCAGCTAACATTCTGGCATTATTTCCTGCCTGATGGTTAGTACCAGTTTCAGTAAAATGCTGGTGATAAAAATGTTCTTCCATGCCTCTTTGGGGCTGTTTTGGTGCGATTTAGAAACTGTTGGTTATAAGAAATCAGGAAACTGTCTGTTGTTCATTTTAAATTGCCATGGCATTTCATTGTCACCTCAAAGGATTCTGCACCCAGCTAAATCCACTAGTTTGCATTTCAAAAGGATGTCAGGCTGTGCTTAAGAAACTGCTTTATTATCTAGACCTTCAGCCACTGTGTTTAGGTGAAACTGATATTTCCCACCTTCCACCCCAACACAGACACACACGAAGACACACACGCACACGCGCACGCACACACACACACACACACACATGCACTCACCCTCAGTCTTCGCTTGGCCTGAACAAAAAAAGTAAAACCTCAATAACAACAGTAAGCTAGATTCTCCACTTTAATTAGTTTTCTAAAGATAAATGGGTCAAGGCCAGATTGGCTTTCAGCCTCCGCTGCAGCTGAATAAATTATGTCCCATTCACCCCAGCAAACAAATGGCTACTGCTTCATCCACTTCAGGTTGTGAACGACCCGGTCTTGCCTGAACCTGCTTTATCTATTTGCTGCGAAACCCCACTGAGACACCCCAGTTTCATTTTCAATGAACCCTTGGTAATAACAGCAGCAAAATGCAGTGAGCTTTCAAAGCAGGGAGAAAATAAAAAAACGTTAAAACCAAACCACCCAACGTATTCTGTCTCGGTTTCTGCTCTTCTCCGGGCAACATCAGCAGCATGTGGTAGCAGAGAGAGCCGCCTGTCACAGGCTTCTTTCCATTTAGGAGGCTGTGATTGATAAGGCCCAAGTGGGGAACATCATAAGACACATATATAAAATGATGGCTTATCTCCAGGATATTCTGCTTATTCCATGGAGTGGAAGGATGCACGAATCTAATTCAATGGTATGCACTGTTGGAAACCTGGATGGAACTCCTGCCCTTATGTGGATTTTTCAGTTCACACCCAATGGGCAGTGAACTATTTTTACATCCCTGAGAAGCTATTCTTTTGGGCATGTGTAAGAATAGTGAAAATAGAAGGCACATAGACCTCTCTTTCAGTCCTGGCAAAGTTGTGTTTAATTGCACAGGGCTGTATACCCTGGGGAGAAGGAAGAGTACACTCACTCTGGCTACGTAACTCCCTGGGAGATACTAAAGCCCAGTCCACATCACTGCTTTAAGACATGTTCAGAGAATCATATGGATTCTGACAACGAAATAATGTTATGCAACATGTTTTGGAAGGGGAACAATTTTGCACAACTTAATATTAAGTGTGAGTTATATTAAATCATATTGGGGGCGATTTGTTAACAAAACTCTTTTCAACTCTGGATTAAACTCTCCTTTATCCTCAGAAACACTTAAGCAAGAGCTTTGGTGACCTCTGTATCATAAAAAATGAAATGTTACACTTTCAGAGCCAAAATAGGGCTATTAGAGATTTTATATCTATTTTATGGCATGTTGATATGCTTATTTTCTGCTTCAGGCTTTAAAATTTCTTTCAGAATTCCTAGACTTCAGCTAAACCCAAATTGATGCATTCGGTAGATATCAATCTATCAATAAATTATTGATTGAGTTATTCTCTGTTGCATAGCACTTAGTAAAACTAGCTGCTATGTACAATCTACATTATAGCATGTTGTTAGTGCTGGCGTCATCAAAAGGCAAGTGACTGTTTAGAAAAGCCGTTACTTTCCAAGTCAGTTAGACATGCTATGTCTTCTCCAGAGAACAGTACATAGTATAGAGGCTCATGGAATATTAATATTAGCATACAATAAGTGGGAGTTTGATTTTGCAATCTCAGATTGACTATGCCAAAAAAGAATATGTAGAAGGCATATTAACAAATGAATAATCATTGGCCAAATATGCAAATTAAAAACATTAAACATCTGTAGCGTCCTTAATATAGGCCATGTCTAATAGCTCATTTTCCCTTCTTAAGCCAGAACTTTCTGCCCAAACCTTGAACAAATTAAACAGAAGCTTTGTTGTCAGTTATGAACCAGTCAGATGCAAAAGTCCATCTGCGCACTCGTTTCACGGTAACTGTCCTTTATTCTGCTATGTAATTGGTGTTTTGGTAGATTGATTATGGAAGTCTGGATAGACAAGCCACACTAAACTGCTCAAACCATACCTTTAAAAATATTTGTTCATGAGCCTCATCAGTTGACATAGATCTTTTATTAAATTATTGAATAGATTAAAGAACCTTTTCCTTGTCATGGAAAATCTGCGACAATATTTTCTCTTAGCTGTCTGAGATATTTGCACCACAACTCCCAAATGTGATGTTCATGCTTATGAGAGATAGAGCTGAAGAAATAGGATATTTCATAAATACCAGTTTTGATGTATTTGCTGTATAATCAATCAGCTTCTAACAGACTCTGGGGCCTATGGAATACATTTTAAAGGACTGGGAATTTGGCTATTCCCATAACATACTCGGACACTCTTTACTGCTAGCAATAAACCTCAGACATAAACATTGTAGAGAAAAAACAGATGAAAAGGAACCCATCTGAGTGAAAATTGACTTCCCTTCATAACTGTTAAAGGTAGAAAGCTATTTGCAATACACAATAACTTTATTACTAAGTTCATTCACAGTCATTATCATCAAAGGCTCTGACTTCATGGGTATTTTCTTATACCCATAACACTGGCTGAGCTATCGAAAAATAAAAAGTCAGGTTGATAGTCAATGAATGAACCACCACCAGCAGCAGCTCCATTATATTGCTTACTAACAAATAATTTGTTGGAAGTTGGTTTGTGTGATCTCTGTAGAAGCTTTTCCTATGCTGTATTGATCCAGATGGACCAGGCCAGGCAAGGCCACACCTATAAACAGTCCCCAAAATGGCCCACAACAACACAAGTTTATTTCTTGTATGTGCCAAGTGTTCATTATGCATTGGCTGTGAGTCAGCTACATGTGGTCATCACCCTTACTCCAGCATCCGGGGTGACAGAGCAGCCATTATCTGGAGGTTCACCTGTCACAATGGCAGGGGAAATGGAGAATGTGGCAAAGGTGGCTGTTCATGTCTCTACCTGGAAGGGTCACATCATACTGATCACATCTCATTGGCCAAAGCAAGTCACATTATCAAGCCATCAGGAAGTCAGGGACATATGTTCCTATGTGCCTCACATAGAGAGAGAAAAAGGACATGTTAGTGAACAGTAACATTATCGACCACAAACACTATGATGAAGGCAAGATTTTTAAATTGATAAAAATCCATGTCATTACTTTCTCCAACCCTAAGACAAACCTTACATGAAAAGGAACAGAAAAATCAGTCTTTCCTTTATTCACCATATTTATTGTGCACTAACATGAACCATGCGTAGGTGACTAGACCATAATCGAAGAACTCACAACACTTTAGGGCAAACTTGTCCAACCCACAGCCCATGGCCTGCATGTGGCCCAGGATGGCTTTGAATGCGGCCCAACACAAATTCGTAAACATCCTGAAAACATTATGAGATTTTTTTTTAGCTCATCAGCCATCTTTAGTGTTAGTATATCTTATGTGTGTCCCAAGACAATTCCTCTTCTTCCAAAAAACGGCCCAGGGAAGCCAAAAGATTGGACACCCCCACTTTAGAGGATGACAGGCAAAAATAATTATAATTTAAATCAGACCATGCTCTTGTAAAGATTGCCCTGCAAATGAACCAACTCTTCTATGGTCTTTTGAAAGAACTAACTTAAAAAAAAAAATTTAGAATCCTAGGAGAAATCTAAGTTCTTATTAGAGAGGGGGTATCTACATTGTCCTACAAAACCATCATCCTTTTTCGGTCAGGCTGATTTTCAGCATCGGATGCCAACGGAGCTTACCTGAACTTTGAGTTCAATCATCATTCAACCAGAGCAAAGGATCCCACCCCAAATCTGAAGGCAGTGTCTCAAAGGAGGATACAGAAGTTGTTGCCAAGAAATAGGAGAAAAGTGGCAATAAAGAAACAGAATGGGCCGGGCGCGGTGGCTCACGCCTGTAATCCCAGCACTTTGGGAGGCCGAGGCGGGCGGATCACGAGGTCAGGAGATCGAGACCATCCCGGCTAAAACGGTGAAACCCCGTCTCTACTAAAAATACAAAAAATTAGCCGGGCGTAGTGGCGGGCGCCTGTAGTCCCAGCTACTTGGGAGGCTGAGGCAGGAGAATGGCGTGAACCCGGGAGGCAGAGCTTGCAGTGAGCCGAGATCCCGCCACTGCACTCCAGCCTGGGCGACAGAGCGAGACTCCGTCTCAAAAAAAAAAAAAAAAAAGAATGAGCAAAAACCTTTTACTACTGGCATGTAGATGTCTTTCAGATCCAGACAATATGTATTTTAAATGAGGCTTTGATATTGCACATTGTGAGAGCTGCTCTTGTATGACTTCATGTCATGTTTGCTTAGGCAAAGCGATTTTTCTGCTTTTCTTTCTGGGCCAAACTGGCTGCAGCAAATCAAATTGTTCTCCCTTTCTGTCTCTTTCATACATCATCATTTAAAATCACCAAGAATTCACATTCTGGAACCTGCTGTTGTCTTCTTGTACAATATCAGTTAATTTCTGAACAGCCTTCATCGAAGGAGAACACTTTTTACAGGTTAATCAGGGAAATTGCACTGGCTGACAGCAACAGCAAACTTATCCATGTCAGTGATAGTCTCAGGAATGTGTGTGTCATTGGCTTCTGCGTGGAATTATTTGCAAAATTGTAGAGCTTTGATTCAGCTGGAAGAAAACTTAGAATACAAATTCATAAATTATTTATGCATGATGAGGCAGGAAACCAATGACTTTGTAAATTTTATTCTAAGGGATTTTGACCTCAGAAAACTCCCCAAAGCAGCCAGCATTCATTTCTGTGAAAAACACTCATCTCTGTACTTGAAAAAGCTAAGCATTTCCTTTGCTTGTTCTTTGCAGCTCCTTGAATGCTAGAACAAAAGGGTAAACACAAAGCGTCCAGAAGAGCTCTGAGAAGAAAACATAGAGGCAGCAAACTGCCCTAATTGATCTACTCACATAAAATCCAAAAACCCAGAGGCTATCTTTAGTGCAAGACATGTCTGCACAAAAATGTTTCCAGTTACTCAGGAAAATCAAATCTTCTTTATGCAAAATGTCTTCAAGGAACAAGAAGTATTTCATTAGGATTTTAATGGTGAGGGCTCAAGTGAAAGGATCCTCATGCTCTCTTTTGTCAAGTTTTTTTTGACAAAATGAATAAAATTAAAAGCTTTTTACAGTATAATCATTTTTTAAAGTTTCCTTTCTCCATGATTTTGGAGAATGAGAAGTAAAATCAATATTTAGGAATTTTTTTAAGAAGCTGACTTTCAATAACTTGGATCGTAGTATGACAAGGAAGGGTATAGTGTATGTGAGTGTGAGAGTGTGTGTGTGCATGTGTGTGCATGTGTGTGTGTTTCTTTTTTAATTACTCTCCACTCTTTGTGCCCAATAACAATAGGTGGACAACTCAGAGATTGTTACAATTATTTACCAAATTGTAGCCAAAGAATGCTATTTTTATATAAATGTTTGTGATTCATCACTACTTTTTAAAATTCAGGAACACTCAGTTGTTGTGAACAAAATGTGAGTAGCAGCTTCCAATAGCTCCTAATGGCACACATGAATTGGCACCGCTCTCGGCTTCATGGAAGAGTAGAGGGAAGAAGATAAGAGTATCCTTTCCAGAACAGGCCCCAAATCTTATGTATTTTTACTGATTTTTGTCTTATCTGTTTGCTCTATCAATTACTGAAAGAGAGATTTTCACTATGCGAGTAGACCTATTTTTCTTTGTTTTGCAGTAGCTCCCCTTTATCCATGGAGGCTATGTTCCAAGACCCCCAGTGCATGCCTGAAACCACCCATAGTACCAAACCCTATATATACTGTTTTTTTCCTATACATACATACCTATGATAAAGTTTCATTTATAAATTAGGCACAGGGAGAAATTAACAATAACTAATAATAAAATAGGACAGTTATAACACACTGTAATAAAAGTTATTGAATATCATCTCTCGTGCGTGCGCTCTCTAAATATCTTATTGTGTAATACTCACCCTTCTTGCAATTAAGAAGAGGCAGGGCAGGATAGCATGAGATTTCATCACACTACTCAGAATGGTGCACAGTGTAAAACTTGTGAATGGTTTGTTTCTAGAATTGTCCATTTAATATTTTTGAACTGCATTTGAAACCACAGAAAGCTGTGGTTTCAGTTACTCATGGTCAGCTGCAGTCTGAAAATATTAAATGGAAAATTCTAGAAACAAATGTTTATGGATGATGTATATATTTCACATCTATATTTATAGTTAAAACTTTTCTTGTGAATTGAGCTTTATCAGTATATATAGTGATTTCCTTTCTCTACTAACTGCTGCCTTAAAGTCTCTTTCTTTCCAATATTAATGTAGTTACACCAAATTTTTAAAAATATTTAACTGAAATATCTTTTTTCATTTTACTTTCAACATTTCTGAACCCTTATGTTTTAAATGTGTCTCTTATAAACATCACATAGCTAGATTTATTTTAAAATCCAGAATAACAATCTTTTTATTTCAATTGGAACACTTAGTTCACCTAAATGTACTAGAAATATTGATATTTATTTCTTCCATCTCATTTTGTGATTTCTATTTGTCTCATCTTTTTAGTCTTCTTTTTCTTCTTCTTTCTTGTGGGTCAATTGAGGATATTTTCTTACTTCACTCTTTTTCTTTTAGTGTTTGGAACCTAATACTGTAGTTTTTATTCTTCTAATAATTACCCTTGAAATTTTAACATGCATCCTAACTTATCAAAGTCCAAGTTTAATTAATACATCAATACCTTTCCCTCTTTTGTAACAATACAAGAGGACCTTAGAACACCTTAATTCTGATAATTCTCCTCCCAACTTATATGCTGTTATTATGGGATAATTTCGTTCTGTCTTATGTTGTGTGTGTTTTACACAAAACAAAAGTTAAGATTGTTATTACCATTTTATACTGGAACTTTTAATATACAATCAACCACATTTTACCACTTTCTTTGGTTATCATTCCTTTTGCGTAAAACCATCCATCAGAGTGACTTCCTTGGTCTGGAATACACATTATAAGTTTTCCTTTACTGAGAGTTTTATTTGAAAATGTCTTTTTGCCCTCATTCTTGAAAGACATTTGTGCTGAACTGTAATTCTAGGTCAACAGTTATTTTCTCCAGGTGCACTGATGCTTATATTTCACTATCTCCTGGTTTCCACTGCTGCTGTTGAGAAGTTTGCTATCAGTTCTCCCTTTTAAGTAATCTGTATTTTCTTTCAAGCTGCTTTTAGGGTCTCCTTTGTTGTTATATAATTTCGTCATAATGTGTAGGTATAGATTTCTTTTTTTATTAATTTTGCTTAGGATGTATTGGGCTTCCTGAATTTCATGATTGGTTTCTTTGATTGTTCTGGAAAATTCTAAGCCATTATGTCTTCAAATATTGCTTCACCGTCTTTCACTCTCTTTCTCTACTCATCCAATAACTGACTGGACATGTGAGACTGTCTCACTCCATCCTCCACATCTCTTAACCTTTCTTTCTTTCTTGCCACATTCAGAATAATGTATTTAGCTGGTAATAATGTATTTACTTCTCAGTTGATTTAGTCTCTCAGGTTTATTAAACAGCTAATTAAATTATTTTATTTGGCATTAAACCCAGCCACTTAGTTTTTAACGTCAATGATTTTATTTTTCTAGTACTTAATGAATTAATTTTCAGATATGCTTGGTCCTGTGTTCAATAGTATCCGCCTCCTCATCACATTTCTAAATTCTACCTTTTCCATTTTAAACATGTTATTTTTTACTTTGTGTCTGATATTCTAATATCTGAAGAGTTTGCTGGTCTCATCTGGTATTTCTGCAGTTTCTTACAAATGGTGCTTTATTTCCTTATAGATGTCATGTTTTCTTGGTTTCTGTTGTGGGTTTTTTTTGTGTGAGTTTATATTCCTTGGAAATTAATCAATGGAAAGTCTGGGTGGCCTGTGTTGAAAGGTATTTCTATTTCATCTTATCCTAAGGATTTTCCCTTGGGAACCCCGGCTGTATGTGGTGGGTTAGTGATACTGGCTCGTCACTTTAGGGAAGCCCTGTATTTTACTCTCCTGTCCTTGCCCACCCTGCAAATCTGAGGCCATCAAGGCTTAAGGTCATCTGGGTCTGAGGAATGTCCTTTGGACCAAATCCATTCTTAGTACTCTTGTTTTCTTTTCTGGGTCCCCATTTTCACTTAGTTTGGAGCCTTTGAAAGTTTGTTACTTTCTTGCCAACTTGTTGACTCCTACATGCTCTATTTCATGTTGCAGTGTTAGCTGATTTTAGGAAATGTGCAGGAAAATACACATGGAGGCATGTACAAGGTAACTTCCTTCACCAACTCTGAGTTAAGATTGTTTTTTAAACTTTTATTTTAGATTCAGGGGTACACATGCAGGTTTGTTATATAGGTAAATTGCATGTCACAAAGGTTTAGTGTACAGATTATTTCGCCAACCAGATAATAACCCTAGTAGCTAATAGGTAGTGTTTCTATCTTCGCCTTCCTCCATCTCGCCCCCATCAAGTAGACCCTGGTGTCTTTTGTTCCTCTCTTTTGTGTCCATGTGTTTTCGTCATTTACTGCCCACTTATAAGTGAGAACATGTAGTATTTGATTTTCTGTTCCTGTGTTAGGATAGGAACAGATAGTGGCCTCCAGTTCTATCCATGTAGCTGCAAAATACATGACCTCATTGTTTATGGCTGCGTAGTATTTCATGGTGTATATGTACCACATTTTCTTTATCCGTTCTACCACTGATGGACATGTAGGTTGATTCCATGCCTTTGCTATTATGAATTTTGCTGCGATGAACATACATGTACATGTGTCTTTGTGGTAGAATGATTTGTATTCCTTTGGGAACATACCTAGTAATGGGATTGCTGGGTCAAATGGTAATTCTGCTTTGAATTCTTTGAGAAATTGCCACGCTGCTTTTCATAATGGCTAAACTAATTTACACTCCCACCTGCAATGTATTAACATCCCCTTTTCTCCACAACCTCACCAGCATCATTTGACTTGGTGGCACGTCATACCATTTTAGAGCAGAGCATTGGAACGGTTATTTTTTGAGTTCTCTGTTTCTGATAAATATTCTAGGAAGCCCTATTTCATTGGGCCATGTGGTAGTTGGTACTATTGGTTAATATTGTTCCAGGTTCAGCCCTAAACTTCCAGTCCACAAAGGCAATAGCCCATCTCAGCAGCCCCAGAGCTCCCCAGGCCTGAGCCTATGGACCCTAGGCACCACATAGTTTCACTCCAATACCTAAGCTCTTGGTGCTGCAAACTTCTCCAGAACCCTTACTGTTGGGCTTCTTTCATGAACTATTTTCACTAAAAGATGTCACCTATATCCGTAAACACTGACCTTCAGAGAGGCAAACTCAGGTACATCCTTTATTTTTTCTCCTTGCTGGCACCTAGAAAGATTCTCCTTCGTACATTACTTACCAACTGATATGGTTTTGCTGTATCTCCACCCAAATTTCATCTGAATTGTAGCTCCCATAATTCCCACGTGTTGTGGGAGGGACCCGGTGAGAGATAATTGAATCATGGGGGCAGTTTCCCCCATACTGTTCACGAGACTGTGAGGAAGTCTCATGAGATCTGATGGTTTTATAAGAGGTTTCCCCTTTTGCTTGGCTCACATTCTCTCTTGTCTGCCACCATGTAAGACATGTCTTTCACCTTCCACCATGATTGTGAGGCCTCCCCAGTCACGTGGAACTGTGAGTCCATTAAGCCTCTTTTTCTTTATAAATTACCCAGTCTCAGGTATGTCTTAGCAGCAGTGTGAAAGCAGACGACTACACCTACCCAGGCCAATCAGGCAGAGAAGAGGTACCAGGACTAGACAAATCCCTGGAATGCCTGGGGCAGGGGGAGTCTTTACAGAATACCTTTCATGGGCAGTGTGTCTCGTACAACTACTTAATCAATTGCTATTGTGGAATATTATGCTCCAGACTGCGGTGATTACTGTTTTCAGCCCAGTTAAAATATCCCTTTTATGGAATTTGCTTTATAATAATAGCAATAGTAATAAAAAATAGATTTTTAATTTAATAAAAATAGAAATTAAAAAATAAGAAAACAAAAATAATATGTGCATTCTATTTTTCTTAAAAGAAAAGCACTTTTTAGATGGAGATACAAAATTGGCCATATTTGTGGCAGCCTCAGGTGCTAGGCTCCACAAAAGCAGCAGGGTTGGTCACACGGTGCGGTTCTGCTGTGGGTTGCAGAACCAGAGTGAACTAAACTCTGAAATTGGCAGTTTCTCCTTCAGACCACCCAGAAGTCTGCCCAGGCCAAAACTCTGGACCTGATGGGCTAGTGAAGCATCTAGTATATAGCAGCTAGATAGACTGGTCTGGCACACATGTGTATTTTGTTTCATTTATTTATTCATGCATTTATTCCCTGCCTCAGACAGACAGGGAGCAAGTGAAGGTAGAGAGAGAAAAGAACAGCCTCATAAAACCTGCATCCATGTGGTCCAAATGAGGATGACGGGATTGCGAAAGAAGCCGGCTCCACACAGTCTAGGGATGTGGCTCCCTTAACTTCCTCTTCTCATCCCTCCCAACCCCTGAGCGGAGCCTGCCCCAGCCCACCAGATGCACAGCCCCTTTTAATTTGCACATGGCACAGCATAAATGCCAAATTCAAAGCTTTGCAAGCACACAAGCCAAGTTCAAAATCCTGACTATGTGATTGTGTGCTAATTACCTAATCTCATCTCATTTTCGGATCTGTAAAATCTTATTTGTAATGATGATAGAAGCCAATGTGCATAAAGCTCCTAGCTCAGCCATTGTCTGTACTCAGCCTAGATATTCTTAACACCAGTGATAATAATAGCAATAACAATCATAGATTAAGCTTAGCTGTTATTCTTATTAATCATATTAATAAATACAAAGTCAAATGCCACATATTCTCACTTCTAAATGGGAGCTAAATAACGTGTGCATATGGACATAAAGTGTGGAGTAATAGGCACTGGAGGGAAAGGGTAGGAGGGTGGGAGGGTGCCAAGAGATGAGAATATAATGGGTGCAATACAATGTACAATATTCATGGCATAATTACACTGAAAACCCAGATTTCATCACTATGCAATGTATTCATGTAACAAGATTGCACTTGAACCCTTTAAACTTATACAAATAGAAAAATCTCAAGAACATTTAAGTACAAAGATTTAAATTATTCGATAGGATTTCAAGTAGATTTTTTAAAAGATTTTTCATTTATTCAGTGACTCTTCAACTCAAAGCCTGTAGGTAAACACCCTTGCCCCAGCCCTAGTCTTTACAGGAAGTGGCTGATATGGCTTCCTGCTGCAGCATTTAAGATGAGCTAAAGCTACTAAATAAAGCTTTTCTCGGCACATTTAGGACTAGTCGCTGAGGACTAGAAGAGAACTGCAAGCTAATGCTGGCTTCCGGCATTGTTGTCGAATAAAGTTAACACTGGAGCTTCTCTCCAAGTTACAGCCACATAGCAAGATGACAATGAAAAGTCCCAGGGTGAACATTTGGGAAGCTGATAAGAGATTCAAGTTACATGAAGGTATTTGGGAAGGATGCAGCTAAATGGTGGATGAAAATAACCTAGAGGAATGATGGCACACAGAGAGGCAGGGGACCCATGGCCTCTCCAGTGACTGATTTCTGAGAGCAGCGTACATGCCTGTGGCCTCAGGTCACCACCGAGGACCATCTATGAAAGCCTTAAAAAAAAAAAAAAAAAAACTCAAGCCAGACAAGGTAGAAATACTGGTAGAGGACATGAAAACCCCAAAATAGGTGATTGAATTGAATGTGAAGGTGAACAGCATTTGAAATAGCCTTTTTAAAAAAACTCCCTTGAAGGTGAACACAGGGACAAGTTACCAACTGTAATTTAACTGTAAAATGATCAGCGCTTCGAGAGTAGGTTTGACTATGGGGAATGACAGCCACAAGAAGAATCTTGCAGCTATTTTTATCTTCCCTCATCTTGACACCTCCCCTTTTAAAAGAATAAGAGAAACAGAGGCACAAAGTTAAGACTTACGGCACAAAGATAGCAGATAAGAGGCACAGAGATAAGGGACTGAGGAACCAGAACAAGACCTGGGTTTTTTGTTTTTTTTTTTAATTTCTGTTCTAGATTTATGTCCACCCATTGTCCTATCTCAGAAAATGCAGCATAGTTCCAGATTGAAGCAGAATCTGTGTGGCAGCCTATAGTCGTTCACCAAATACTAATAAGGATACGCCACGTTTGTGACATGCGTGAGGATAGACAAAGGGTTTTCACATCCCATATCTCATTTGTAAAACTTGAAACAACTGGAACCAGCAATTTGATGTTTCTCTTGAAGAGACTCCCAGGGCCGAATGTTCTGTTCCCAGGGGCCTAACGTTAGAATCCTCGTGGTGTCTGTGATGTTTCTATTGCCGTCAAAGGTCAAACAAGAGGTGAACAGACATTTTAGGGATTTACTGCTATTTTGTCTCTTCTTTGTCGTCCACAGTACTTTCATAAGTGCCTCTGTTTGGGGAAAAGAAAAGGGAAGGAAGGGAGGAGAGGAGGGAGGGAGGGAGAAAGGAGGAAGAGGAGAAGAGAAGAAAGAAGAAAGATATGTTCCTTTCTGACACCAGGACTATTTTTAGTGCCCAGAGCAACTTCAGAGAATTCTATGATGAAGCCTGGAGAAGAACGCGGCTCACTCATTTGTGCTCACTCCAAGGGGAGTAAAGAAAGGAACTTGGTGAAAGGCAGGGCAGAGGGCAGTCAGTCTGGACGCCAGTAACTACTGTGTGTTCCCAGAACGTTAAATCAACTATGCATCTGAGTTTGCTTTTCATTAAATCACTGTTATATTCTCAAAGACTGCTGATCATGGGAATTTGGGATTCAAGGTCCTCATTTTATAAGCGCTTCCTATATACTAATAGTATAATATCAAGTAAATTATTTTCGGTTGAACTGATGATTAGGAGTAAAAGCTATGGCTCTATTGATTTAAAACAATAAGAAGCTTTCAGCATAAGTTATTTAAAAGGCTCATGGGAATTGTAAAAAGCCCTTCCAGGATTACTGGCTTTTGGTTAAAATCCCTATTACATATTTTTGTCTTCTGGGTTCAAATAATTGCATTTTCTTGGATTGAGGTCAGCTCCTTCCCAACCCTTTTGATCCGTGTGACCCGAAGAGCTCTTTGGTTTACCATGTTTGGCTTTGAGCTGACTCACGCCAAGGCTAAAAGCAAGATAACTTGTTTGGGTAAGCAGAGCAAGACGACAATGAGACCAGAGCCTGATCCTTAGAAGCTCTGACCATGACCTCCTTCCCTCAAAGACGCTCCTTCGTGGTGGTCACATGGGGAAGCCAGTAAGATAGCATCCAGCCAGGCATGCAGATTGACATTACTACCAGGGACAAGCAATTCCAAACATTTCCAGAATTTGCTCTACATTCAGGGATGCTTAGAGTTGGAAGGGATGTTAACATCCATCTCCATGCCCTCACTTTACCAGTGAGAACACTAGAATCCAGAAAGATGAAATAACTAAAATCACTTTGACTGTATTTATTTATATTTTCTTCCACTAAGATCAGGTATTTTTGGTATGCTTGTGCACACACACACACACACACACACACACACACAGGCACATATATTCCAAAATAGAGAATTATCTTACCTTATTTATCTTCCCTCATCTTGACTCCTCTCCTTTTAAAATAATAGGAGAAACAGAGGCACAAAGTTAAGATTTATGGCACAAGGACAGCATATCAGAAGTGCAGAGATAAGGAGCCAGAACAAGACCTAGGTTTTTTATTTCTGGAACAGAAATAAAATTATTTCACAAAATTATAATCACAAAGAAAAAAAGTAGAATCAGACTCCTTGGATCCACTGTCCACTTTCACAAACAGGATGGATCCTCTTTTCTGACAGACTTTATTTTCTTAGAACAGTTTTAGTTTCACATCAAAAGTCTGCCCCCACGTAAATACAGCCTCCCCAACCATCACAAGATGTTCGGTTTGTTACCATCAATAAACCTACATTGACTATCCTTTTCATCCAAACTCATTTAAAATTCACTGTTAAGAGGAATTCTATGGCCTACATGTTGTCACTTTGCAGTGAAAACACAGAAAATGTGCTGGAAACTTTAGTGAGTCCTTTAACCTTTCCTCTTTTAGTTAAATGGCGGGAAGCAACACAGTGAGTGAAAGTAAAGGAGATTTCGAAGAGTCTTTCCAGCTTGCAAACACGGGCACTCTGTGAGTAAGGAAAATTAAGTCAGAGTAACTTGTTCCCTCCTCCTATGAGACAATCTATTATAGAAATGCAAGCGTGGGAAAAGGAGGGTCTACCTCCAGCTCCCCCACTGGTATTTTATCAACAATAACGTTCTCAAGGGACTTTTACAGCTAAATATTTTGGTAGTTTAGCGTCTATCAGCACCAACATGAGACAGCAAATATTCTCAGGATACTTTTGGGACTCCCATATTCCAAGGCATAGAAAGGGGAATTTGTTATCTTTTTCTCCACATGTATGATTTCATGCATAATTTTAAAAATAAGGGCCACTGCCTTCTGCTGGAGCCTGGCTGTTCACGTAGCTGTAACGGTTTTACTAGTTGTGTGTTTGTAAAAGTGCTTTTCCCCCTCTGTGTCAGCAAACTGCATGGCGGACGGGGCTTGGAGACTTGGAATTTCGTGGAGATGATTAATTACAGAGCATCTCATTGCAGATGTTTTTCTCTTCTCCCTTTTGTGGGCCTTTTGCGTCTCTTTCCCAGCTCTTCTCTTCTTCTCTATCCTCTGCACCCACCATGTCCCCCATCTCTACCTCACAGCTGTGGCTTCTCTCAGGAAATGCTAGGCCACAACACAGGAAAAATGGTGTTTTCATATCACGGTTCGTTTACTGCAGTCAGAGCAAAAAACGACAGCAAAACATTCTAAAAATGCCAAGCACTTGGAGGAATGTCTGCTCACGAAACTGACACTTTACTCTGACCCAGGTCCCCTTTTCAAGAGTTTCACTTTTACAGTAACACTGAGGTGGTCACATTGACTAAAAATATAGATTCAAAAGTGAGTGGGTCGGAGTATTTTTGTGAGAGGTTTTTCGTCTTTGTTTTTTCACTTTATTAACAGGAAGTGTGATACCCAGTAAAAAAAATCACTGCCCCTTATAAAATGGAATCTAAGTGCAAAGAGTTTCACCTAGTTTTCTCTTTCCTTAAACAGCTTCAGTGCCTCCTTTTCTTAGGGCAGGAGTTTAGCTGAGAGATTTTCTAGGAGAGGAAACAGGGCCACATTGCACACCTGGAGATGGTAAACCTGCCTTCTTCATCCAAGCATGCTTCCTCCCCCTTCCCCTCCGATTTTGTTGGGAGAAAAAATAGGAAAGGGTGATCTTTCCTGCTTCCTGGAGATCGCCTACAAAGCCAACAGTAGAGAAGGATCTGTGGCTGTTGTCTCAAAGGATTCCTCTGCACATTAGACCAGCATTCGGAATATGTGGGACTCGGATCATTTACATGAGAAACTTATTAAAATACTGATTCCCAAGGGCCAACCCAGGGCCACACTAAGTCAGCCAGTGGGGTACAGGGGACAGCAAATCTGTATTTTTAACAAGTTCGCCTGTGATCCTGATAGATACCACCTCACATGCTAAGTGGACTGCTACTGCTTTGAGAACCTACCTTTTCCATCTTTCCATGCCCGATGCCAATGTGTTCAATGCATGTTTCTTGGAAGAATGACTACTCTTAATTAGACATGTAAAATGACTTCGTGGCTCCTACATGGAAGGATTCACCCTAAAGTGAGGTTTCCAGTGGAGAGAGGGAAAAGCCACACGAAGACTTCCTGGGGATGCTGGAACAAAGCTTTGCTTTCTGGCTGTTCTGTCGCTGTCCTGTCGTTGGTCTCACTCATGGCAGCTGCCGTCTGACATCACTGCTCTGTGTTTGTCAGGAGCAGACGTGAAGAGAGACCCCATCCACAGCCAGCAGCATGGCCCTGCCTCCTGCAAGTCTTTCTAGGAAGCAATTGTATATAAATTATAAACAAACAAATAATATTTCTGAACCTTATGTTAGTCACTGCACTGAGTATTTCAGGGAAAGGAAAGGGGGCTCATTCCAGTCTGTTGCTCCACGTCCGCTGGGGAAGTGGGCAGCCTGCTGTGGGAGGAGATGCTGGCTGGGGAGCCCCTGCATCACTATGTGACCTTCGACAGGTCACTGCCCATCACCAAGCCTTCGTTTGCTCATCGTTAAAACCAGGGGTGAACTGCAGAGGCCCTGCAGTCCCTTTGAGCGACAGGACTGTAAGCTTCTGTGTGAGTGTGAAATGTGTTTGCTGTGACCCCTCTGAACATTGACCAATGGGTCCCCATCAACTCTGGAGCTCCTGAGGAAGAACCCCGGGGGGGGCTGAAATGGAGTTGGTGAGATACTTCCCACTGACACTGGAGTTCTCAGCTTTATTTCCCTTTTGAAAGAGCTGGTTAGTATCTTTTAGAGTAAGATTTGTATTTCTTTCTTGCCCAAAATGGAGCCAGAGAGGGACAAAATAAAGAAACTAAAATGTCCTCAAGAATATCCAAAAAGAACAGAAGTGCAGGAAAATGATGCTTAAAATTTAAGCTCCTGAAAACATTTGGCAAAACGCTGGGTTCTCCCTGCATGTTCAACGTTAGGAATTTTCACATGAGTTCACAGTGTTCCCAGGGCCCACCGCACCCTGGGCCCCTCACATCTTCCACCTCGAAGGATGTCGTTCCCAGCAGCAGATCTGTGCCTCGCAGTACCGTCTGCAGCTGCCATTTGCTTAGTCTGGGAGATGTCCAATTCCTCCCTCAGAAGAGAATCACGCTTTCATTTTCCCTTTGAGGTAGCATGTCCCAAATTACACAGCCAAGGTCTTCATCCCAGGGGGGAGGTTTATTCTCCACAGGATCTGCAGACAGTGAGAAAATGCATCTGATCTTGAAAACTGTGGTTGAACAATTGTGTAAATGTAATTGAAATTCATGTTTTTCCAGATGAAAATGGACCTCCATTCACAACATGGGATTGAATGGGTTTAGGAGATTCAGAAAATCTTGGGTTGTCTGATAATTTCCCAATATTGCTTTACTTCTCCTCCTCCTCTTCCTCCTCCTCCTTCCTCCTACTCCTCCTCCTCCTCTTCTCTTACCTTGGTCCTATTTGGGACAAAAAAAAAATCCCTGGGTCAGAAATTTTACCCTTTCCCATAAACATGACTTTTTGAACCTCCCAAGAGGCAGAAACGAAGCCAAATGTGATTACTCAGCCTCTAAAGTTTCATCATGTAGTGATTCATCAAAGGAGCTGAAGGTACTGCGCATTGCTGAACTTGAATATGCCTTCTGAGAGGCTCCTACCATGTTGCTTTCATGAAGAAATAGTGATCCTTGAAAGGGAATTTCACACTGGAACAGAGCAACTGTGCTGCCTGCTTTCTCTGTGTTCCCTCGATCAGGACTGATAACTCCCTGCATAAGTTTAATCCCACCTTTCCTCTTCTTCTCTCTCTCACATTAGCAATTCTTATGGAAACGATGCAACCCTTGCCTATGTTATGCCTGCCTAGTAATAATTTTTAGGATCATTTTCAAAGATCCTGGGGCCAGCAAAATTTTTACCGTTTAAAGTCTGTTTGGCCACTGGCCAAGTGACCTTGGGCGAGTCAGTTAATTTCTCTGAGCCTCTAACTCAGGAACTCTCAGTCTTGACTGTACATGAAAATTACCTGGGAAACATTAAATACTGATGCCTGGGCCTCGTATTTAGAGATGTTGATCTGTTTGGCTTGGGACTGACCCAGCATCTGTATTTGGAAAGCTTCCTAAAGCATGTCCTTGGGGTGCAGCCAAGGTTGCTAGCCACTTCCCCAAGTCCTTGTTTATCAAAATGTGATTCCTAAACTGGCAGCATCAGTATCACCTGTTAAAAAAATGAAGAATCACAGGTCCTACCCCAGGCCTGCAGCATCAGAACCTGCATTTCAACAAGATCCCAGGTGATTCGTAGGTACATCATGCTAAGAGAAGCACAGCTCAAATCCTTGTCTGTTAAAGGTGGATGATAATAGTCAATATGCAATGAGCTCTGTGCTCCATGTTTTTCCCTGTGTAATCTCAAAAAGGTACAGAGGAGAAACTGCATATTCACCTATATATCTCTTGAGACCTTAGCCTATTTCAAAAAGCTCTGGATACGAGATCTAGTGGGTTTGTTGGGTTGATTGCTGTCCTTTTATGTGGTTTTCTTAAGAGGCTGATTGTTACATTGATATAACCATATAAGACTGTTCTACGAGTTTAGTATCTTCCTCTGATCTCAGAAATTGGGCCTCCCTCCAAATATTTAATAAAAAAATTTGCCTCCTTTTTCTATCACATTTTAGATTGATTTGGAGGGTGCTACATCAACTCTAACTGGCAGATTTAAGAAACTGTATGCAGTGATTTTTAGGATGGGGACTAGTACAATAGGTAAACCAGAGTTGGGGTCAGCTAGTCAGACAAGTTTCTTTGCAGCAATCAGCAAACTATGACCTACGGGCCGAGCCACCTATTTTAATAAATAAAGCTTTATTGGAACACAGCCCTGCTCATTCATTTAGATATTGTCTAATGCTGTACTGACAGTACAATAGCAGCACTTAGTCATCTCGATAGAGACCCTATGGTCTGCAAAGCCTAAAATAATACTACCTATCCTTTCAGAGAGGAAGTTTGCCCGTCCCTGATTTACAGCAACCCCTAAATGAGGCCAGGGTTGAGTGATTGCTGACCATCTGGGCCCATATTTTTAGTTGGTTCCATAGCCCAGTGTACACCCCTAATCCCAAGCAGATTTTAAGCAGCTGTGTGGTTACATGGAGTCAGGCAGAGGGCCCAGAACTGATCTATCTGCATTGTAGCCACAAATAAGAACAAAGAGAGGTTCATCCTTGTCCACGGACAGCAGCATTTGTCTGTCAAGTTGTTGGAAGTATTGCTTGAGTGTCCACCTAAAATGGACCCTTCATAAATTCATGCATTTCCAAATAGTATGAGAAAGGATCCTAGTATGAAAATTCTGAGTTAAACCTGGGAATACAAAGATTTTTAGGCAAGATGGAAAGCAAGGATCACTACTTAGGAAAAGTAAAAGGTGAATTAATTTGGGTACCAGTCTTTTTCAAGCAAGAGATTTCTTCCTCAGGGAAAGTTTTAAGCATTGGAATATAGATATTAAGCCAATTTTGGATTATATCAAAGAGTTCGTCAACTAAAAACATGTGCTCTTCTCTCTCTTTTTTTCTTCTCGTCAATAAGCGATGGAGAAATCTAAAGTCATGTAAGATTTTATTTCTGTTCTCCATCTGAGTCTCAGTCATTGCAAACTATGAGGCAGTAATGCTTTGTGCAACAGGAATTAAAGAAGGGAGAGGTGGATAAGAGCAGGCTGGAAGAATCTCCCCGAACAGGTTCTAGAAACTGGACATTCCTTTGACTATTACCCGATATTCAAAAATTTAATTTTTTCTTTTATAATTCTTTTGGGCCCCTTTTCTCATCCTTTTTTGGCTTTGGTTTCTTCCAATAAGTGCTTATGAGGCCAAGAAGTTGGTCACTGGGGGCTTTAACAAGGCCCATGGATGGCAGCTGGATTCAGCTGAACTGTAGTAATTAGCCATCACCTAATCTTATTCAAATGGTGCTCCTAGATCTGCAATGTGATAAATTGTGAAAGTTCCAAGTAGGGGGAATAAAAGAACAAAAGAAAGATACTAGCAGTCTTGGGTCTGACGGATTGCTCAAATTATATTCTTGCTGTTCCATTTTGCAAGTTTTTATCAAAATGGAAAATGCGAAGTCTTTGCCTAATGTCTCTGTACATAGTTTTTGTTGCCAGTTTATTCTCTCTGGTGTGGGGCTGGCTCAGCCGTTGGTCTCTGGCATGGAGATACCAAAATGCAGCTAATCTGCCTTCTGAGTAGAGCTCAAAACATGTGATTTAAAATCTTATGATAGTTTCATAGAAATAATAATGCCGTTGTGTCGAATTGTTGCAAGAAATAGATTATTTTCGAAAAGGTTTTTGTTTCCTGTAATGTTCTGGAATTTTTTATAAACAAAATCAGTTTGGTGGTTTTCACTGAATTGACCAGTAATGAGTTTTGCTATGAGCGAATTTGATGTCAGGAGATTGCAAGAGAAGTAACAGATGTGAGGATCTCTGTTTACAAGAAAGACACTTTTCTCTTTGGCCACTGCCTGTGAGTTATGAGAGAGGTTAACATTTTCTTTTCTCTGTATGTTTACATGAAGTTTCTGGAAATCATTGCGAGGATTCTGTACATGACAGGATTTTCCCAGGGGCGATAGATGAGGGATTTAGAGATGAAATTGGTCTGTGCATCAGGGATGGGAAAGGATTCCAGGGTCTTCATCTGCTTTATGAATTAATATCGGTATACATTACCCTCTTAATATAGTGCTGAGCCAGGAAGTCTTGTGAGCCACCTAAGTTAGCTGTGAAATACTCAGGGCGTCCCTTAATTTTTTACTATAAATTTCTTCCACTTCATTTCTAACTTTGAAGTTTTAGGTAAAGATAGTTTCTCAACTCATATTTTGCCCTTTTCCAGATTATGCATTAGATGCAGTCATGGCCATAAATCTCACTAATGGCCAGTGCTGTACGGCATCTTATGGTCAGCATCTGAGTGTGCAGGCTCTCTGTGCTAATCCTGGGATTCCAGTAAGTCATAAAAACAGCGGCTTAAGAAAGTTTGCATTTTTCCCCTCTTGTCAAACTAAGATAAACCCAATTTTAGAAGAGGTACAGTTCCTATCCCTTCCTGGTGAATCCTAAAAGGAAATCAATACATCAATGCATTGTCCTTTAGTTGCACTTTGTACATTTTCCTGAGAACTTATGGCCAAATTAGTAAATGAAATGTGTAAGACATTGGGCAGTTTTGCAATGCACTTCAAGTCATCTGTCTTAATCCCTGCAATAACCCTAAGAGTAGGGCATTCTCTGTCTTGCTAGTCAGGAAACTGAGGTCCATGGAAGCTAAGTATGTTTCCCTGGGATTGCACAACTAAGTAGCAGAGGTAGGATTCAAGTTCGGATCCTCTGACTCCAATTACCATTCCCTTTCCACTGCAACAGGCTGCTCATGTGTAGGGGAGCATGCAATGAAGATAGCCAGTGAAGCTGAGTCCAAATGCATGATGGAGAAGCCTGTGCAACTATTAGGATGGAGAAACTATTAAGATGGTGGGAAAGGAGAATGGGTGTACAGAGAGCAGAGAAGGAGAGAGAAAGGTCATTTTAAAAAAATGAAATGACAACTTTGAGTCAAGCCCCTTATAGAAGAGCTCACCCTCTTTCTGTTTTCTGATGCTCCCCACATTGCCTTTATCAAGATTTGGAAAGATATATTGAAACTTGGAAGGTATAGGGTATCTTCTGTAGTTCCCTCTATATTGTTTTATTACCTAGAAAGAGCCAGAGGGTGAATATGTTAGACTTTGCAACCCAGTGGTCTCTGTCACAGCCATTCAACTCTGACATTTTTATCTTGAACGCAGCCATGGACAATGCATAAACACATGAGCATGGCTGTGCTTCACTAACGTTTATTTACAAAGCAGCAGCCAGCTGGAGACCACTGTTTGCTGGCTCCTGCCTTAAAACAGTGACTTCCAACCTCAGCTGTACATTACAACCACCTGGGGAACAGCAGAAAATACCAGTGCCCCCTGATTCTTCTCTACAATAACCAAATCTTTCTAAAGTAGAGTGCAGGTATCAATATAGATGTTTAAAGCATGCCATGAAATTCTAGTGTAAAAGTAAGATGGAGGACCACTGTCCTAGATTCTGAAACAGTGGCCTTCTCATTATGGTTCCTGGGACAACAGCATCAGCATTCCCTGGCAACTTGTTAGACATCGAGTTCTCAAGCCCCATTCCAGACCTACGGAAACTGAAACTCCAAGTGGGGCCCCAAAATTGTGTTAACAAGCCCTCCAGGTGGTGCCAAAGCACAACCCAGTTTGAGAAGCACAAGTCTGGGACCTAGAAAATAAGGATTCAGCCCCAGAGCCCTTGCTTGAGTGTCTTCCTGAGCACATCAGGCGTAATGTTCTAGAGCCAGCCCTGGACCTTCCATCGGAAATCCAGCTTTAAGCTCTGCCCTTTACTTCCCCTCCCTAAGCCCCAGAGTCTTCATCTATAAAAAGAGTAATATTAATAGTTATACCTAATTTATAGCTAATTGATGGTGATTGGGTGATTAAAGGTATGTGAAGGCAGTCAAACTATTAGACACCATGCAAATGCAACTATTTATTGTGATTGTAACTAACCCTTCAGAGGTAGAAGTACATGCAGTTATTACTCATGGGCTTGGTCCATGACTCTCAGTCCAGGAGTGTGCTGCGGCCCAAAGGGTTACTACTAAGCATAATCTAGAAAGTACTTAAGAGTGAGTTGTCTTATCCTTACCAAAACCATGGTGGTTCTGGCCCTCTGGAGGGCAACAACGCTATAAAGGGAAGAAAACAGGATCAGAAAGAAGTCCCTATGGAGATAAGGTGATAGAGAGGATACTACCATATGAAAGCAGGAAAAAGCCTTTCAAATTAAGGTGGATAGGATATGCTGAATGTCCACAAACCCTTATAGGAAGTAGACAAAGTAAACCATGTATCCTCCTGGGATCTTTTTCCAGGAGTCTCCGAGCCACACTGGGTGGTACACCTTGATATATAATCCTTGCCAAGAAGTAGTATCAGGTACAATCACAAACATATTCAAAAAGGTCCAGAGACCTTTACGAATAACACACATAATTTGTTCCTTAGACAATCTGGGACACTTCAGAGGCAAATTTACAGTCTTTTAGGTTTGACATCTAGTAGGATAAATAGTTGCCATAAAATGTCCCTTAAACACTGTTTTAGAATGAATATACAATCCTGAAAGAATCAGGATCTAACAAACAGTGGGTTGATTCTTGAGTTCTTGTGAGAAGAAAACCAAGACACTTTGCAAGCTATCTGTTGTTTTATATGTGTGTGGATTTGAACTGCATGTTTCTGAAATAATAAAGACCTTTTGGGAATCAACTATCTTATAGAGACTCCAGAGTTATTATCTGAACTTTAGGGAGAACATCCATGCCAAAATCAGCACCATCTGTTAAATTCCCTCATCGTTCTCTTCCTGTCTTACTGAAAGACCCTGCTCTCTTCACTGTTGTTGTGATTTTTTTTTTTTTTTTTCCTTCTTGTTTGGTCATCTGCAGCATAAAGGGTGTAGAGAGGAGAGTCAGAGAGAAGTGTGTCAATCTTTACTTGGACAGAAGCCCAGGAAGTATTAGTTAGACATTTTCTTATGTAGATTGGAGAGTCATTTTTGTGAGTAAAATGCCCTGCAAAGCATTTTGCTGGTAGATGCTCGGAAAATGTTGAGGCAGGTTAAAATGAGCCATGACACACCCGAGCCGCAGGTGTAGCATTTAGAGTCCAGTGAGGGGGGATTACCTCCTGTTCTCCTGCTAGCTTTGCTGAAATTGTTTAATCCCAAAGGATAAATCCAGGCTGCTTTTCTCAGGGCCATATAACTGCCTTAGTACATAGAGCTGTTGAAATATGAACCAAGCAGGGTGTGAACTAGCTCAAAATATGCTGATTTCCAGATGTTCTTTGATTCTGTCAAACACTGATTGCCCCCAAAGACCATCCTGAGTTGTGGCTGCCAGTGATTCCTCATGTTTCTTTCCATGATCAAGGCAATAATTTTAAAGCCCCGTAGTCTTTCTTATGAGCCTGTGTCTGGGTCTTGTCTAGGTCATATTTTACTTCTCAGTATGAAAATGCAGAGTCTCACTGGATTGCGCTGTAAAATATCTGCACGTCGGTAGCGGTTTTTTAATTTGTTGCTCTTCCCAGGATGGAGAACCTTTCTGAATTATGAACGAAGGGTTGGTGCTCAATATAGTGACCTTCCGTGAAAGAGAGGTTGTGGAATATCTGCTTTCTCTGCAACAACAACAACAACAACAAAAGAAAGGAAAAAACAAGGAAAGTAAATGTGAGCATGTTTTAGGGAAAGTAATCAAAATCCAAAATCATTGAATTTATGTTTACAGAAGGAAAAAAAAATCATTTGCGAAGCAGACTTATCACTCACACTATTATTGCATTCCAAAACTTCATTCTCTTAAGAATTAAAAAAATAAATAAATCCAGAGTGTGAATATATTGGGGATCAAAAATGCTAATGCTTCTAGGAGGTTCTTTTGAATTTGTTTTATGATATCTCAGTAAAATAAAGGCTTATAGAAACCCTTCTAACTGGTGGGTTAAATGTCTACCACTAGAAAGGAGATACCACAAGGAGGAAAGAATTTTTACACCTCCTTCTACTTTCACCCTGTTCAGAGACAAATCTGTGGCCACCAGCCTCAGCATCCCCTGAGCCTTTGAACCAACACATTTGCCCTCATTTCTTATGAGGAGAAATGATACAGAACTCTTTGGAGAGAACTCTTCAGAAGACCTGGATCTGGGTTCACATGGGGGCTTTGACTCATTGGCAGGGATTTTCATGTATTGAAGCCTTGATATTCTCATCTGTAGGATGCAGTAAATAGCGCCTGATGAGGAAAGGGCCATCGTCAAATAAAAATATAAATTTTATTTCATCTAAATTCACAACCTGGTTAGGGGTGAGGGCAGAGTCAGGACTTGGAGCTGCCAGGGCTAGTAACATAGATAGTACATTTAATTCATGATATACATTTTTTTTCTTTTTTTTTTCCTTTTTTGAGGTGGAGTCTCCCTCTTTCACCCAGGCTGGAGTGCAGTGGCGCAATCTCAGCTCACCACAACCTCCACCTCCTGGGTTCAAGCGATTCTCCTGCCTCAGCCTCCCAAGTAGCTGGGATTACAGGTGTGCACCACCACATCTGGCTAATTTTTGTATTTTAGGCAGAGACAGTGTTTCATCATGTTGGCCAGGCTGGTCTTGATCTCCCGACCTCAAGTGATCTACCTGTCTTGGCCTCCCAAAGTGCTGGGATTACAGGCGTAATTCATGATATACTTAAAAAGGTAGTTAGCTGTGTTTTTCAAAGTAATCAGATCTACATTTAAATAATAATATCCAACGGGAGAAGACACAGAAAGCCCTCAGAACTGGGCCTAGTACACAGTGAGGCACCTGTGAACATTCACACCCATTTTCCCTCCTCTTCACGCCTGTGCCATCTGCCAAGTCCTCCATCTCATGAAACACCTGAGGCATTCCATGACCTTCGAGGGCACACGCTAAGTTTGGACAAAGGCAATTCGCACACGTTAAGAAGACTTTCTGCCCTAGTGATTGCTGCTGCATCCTTTCACTTGTCTCTGCATTGCAGTGGATTTCTTTCCGTGAGCATTGTGATTGAGGTTCTTCCTTAGCAACAATCGTTTTAAAAAATAGAAATCACACTTAGATGGTAAATTCTCTCTTTTGGGTCACAGATGTGGGAGATAATCACAGCCTCTTCCAGGGATTACTAATTAGTCAATTCCTAGTAATCTCCAGGGATTACTAATTACCAGAGATTCCTAATCTGCTTCTGGGTGTGGCTGACACCAGAAAGTTTGGGGGAACCCACAAGCAGCACCCAATGCAAATGGGGACAGAGAACCCACTGCTTCAGGAGCAGAGATGACCAATCCTGCTTGCCAGCACCATCTCTGCAGAGAGCAGAAACTCCTGGCTCCCTCTGCTTGCCTCCCTCTACCCCAAGTGACATCCTTGAGTTCACGCCACTCCTGCAGAGAGTTACTGCATCTACCAGATTCAATAATTACACCATATTTGGTCCTGAGGTTTTCTGACCAGCCATGGTCCATTTTTCCCAAGTGCTCCATCATGACAGCAATCTATTGAGGGCAAGTGTGCTCTGAGAAAACTGTACTGGTGATGGCCAGCCTCTACTGAGACCTAACCATCTGCCATGAATGAATATATTCATTCATTTAATCCAGATAAAAATCCTGAATTTTACAGTTGAGGAAATGGAGTCCGAGTGGCCAGAAGAAATTTCATGAATTTTAGAAGTCTGTAGTAAACCCATGTAAAATGCCTCGAGGAGAGCCCAGGCAGGAACTGGTTTCTCTGTCACATACATGAGGCTGAATTAGGGACTGAGTCATGGTGGGAGATGGCTGATGTTTTGGAAATGGCCCTAATATCGAGCTGGTCAGCTTTCTATCTTGCCATTGCCCATAGCTGGAGAAGGGAGTGAGGCCATGATCTCTGTCTGGAATGAGGCATTGTGCTCTAGCCATTGACCTAGCTGGGTAAACCCTGAATCAGTTAGTTAAAGGCTATTACCAAGGGTTCAGTGTGAAGGAGTGTTATTTTAGGAGTTTTCCTTTTTTTTTTTTAAGAGACGGGGTCTTGCTCTGTCATCCAGGCTAGAGTGAAGTGGCGCAAACACAGCTCCGTGCAGCCTCAACCTCCTGGGCTCAAGCAGTCCTCCGGCCTCAGCCCCACAAGTAGCTAAGACTACTGGTATGTGCCACCACACCCAACTAATTTTTATATTTTTATAGAGACAAGAGTTTTGCCATGTTGTCCAGGGTGGTCTTGAACTCCTGAGCTCAGCAACTTGCCTGCCTCCGCCTCCCAAAGTGCTGGGATTACAGGCGTGAGCCATCGCACCCGGCCTATTTTAGGAGTTTTCTTTCCTAATCACTCCCTTCCTAACACCCGCTGTCATTCATAAGTTACGCGATGTAACTTATCTCTTTGACTGCTCACTCGGGGCCTGTGATAGTCAGGGATACAGCCTCAGGAAATTTACTGCTAAAGAGAAAATAAGTTGAATGTGAATATTTTGCAACTTAGGGTCACTGTTATGTTAGAACTCTGAGAACAGGAATGCATGAAAAGATCAAGGGTGGAAGGGGGATGATCTTTGTAGGTCAAAGTAGTAAAATAAAAGTGAGCTGAAATGGAGTGAGATGTAGTCCTTTGGCTCTAAATTTTCTAAGAGGAATGATCTATGGAAACTAAAATCTGCACAATTTTTAAGTCTGCAACCTGCATACTTTCCTTTTTTTTTTTTTTTTTTTTTTTTTTTTTGAGACAGAGTTTTGCTCTTGTTGCCCAGGCTGGAGTGCAATGGCACGATCTGGGCTTGCCTCAACCTCCAACTTCCGGGTTCAAGCAATTCTCCTGCTTCAGCCTCCCCAGTAGCTGGGATTACAGGCATGCACCACCACACCCAGCTAATTTTGTATTTTTAGTAGAGACACTGTTTCTCTGTGTTGGTCAGTCTGGTCTCAAACTCCCGATCTCAGGTGATCCACCCGCCTCACCCTCCCAAAGTGCTGGGATTACAGGCTTGAGCCAGCGCACCAGCCTAATTTCTAAGTTTGCTTAAAGATATAAATCATGAGAAAATTCTCATTTCTCCATAAGGTGGTATCCACTCAGTTGCTTATAGGTATCAAAAAGGTAAAGAATGGTTAAACGGCAACTGGGAGAAACTTAAAACTCCTGGTAATAGCAGGACTGGGATTTGGGGGAAATCATTTTAATTGTGGAGTAGTCATGCATTACTGGAAAATAATCCATCACTAACTGTGGATGTTGCTTGTTACCTATGTAACTCCTCTGAAGAACATTCCCAAAAATTTAGAAAAAAAAAATCTACCAATTATCAAGAATTAGAAATTAAAAAATAAAAAACCCAAAGGAAAGCCATGGAGCTACATTAAAATCATTCCATTCCCACAGCTCTGTTTGTGCAAATTAAAAGACCAAAATTCTGGAGGCATCACACAATTATTTGGCCTTGGGGAGATCCTTCTTCTTTAAAGGCTATAAAATTACATTCATCCTGAACACCTCCAAAGGCATGTATATATTGTGATAGATACATGTGTATACATGATGTGTAACTATAGAGGTCACTATGTATATAAAGCCAAAGAAGGGTTCTACGTAAATAAGACTTTAAATAGTGTCATGGTACTTAAATGGAACCACTGTATAAGATTCTTAAGTTTCAATTACAAATATTAACAGTATTAACAGTTTCATAAATGGAGACAAAGAACACTCGTTTCTTTTCGTTTACAATGAAAAATGAGAAAAGGATTATCCAGTGTGCAAATATTTGCTGCACGGGAATATTTAATACATTTCTGTATAAAAGGTTTTAATATGCGCCCCTTGCTAACATTACCAAATCATATTAAAAGTATTTAGTACTTCAAATAGTCTTTAGTATCTCTGGCCTCATTACTGAGAAACATCTGGAAGGCAATAGGAAAGAAAGGTAACACTGGCATTATCTTCTATTGTTACCTCTTGCTTCTTAGGTATTAATTTGTAAAATGAGGGGAAAATCCTTTCCAAATGCACAGGTTATCATTATTGAACGACAAGATAAAATAATAGCTAATAGCTAATATTTGTTGAGTATTGACTTCCTTCTAGGCACTTCTATACTAACAGGTTCTGTAATTAACTTCATTGGGCAGATGAAAAAATCCTATTTGAAATCTCCTTCTCAACTCAGGCTAGTAGTAGTTTCCTTTTGCCTCTTAGCTTGTTCCCTAATGATGCAGTAAATATCATGTTAAAGATTGTTACTATAGGCTGGGTGCAGTAGGTCACGCTTATAATCCCAGCACTTTGGGATACCAAAGCAGGCGGATCACTTGAGGCCAGGAGTTTGAGACCAGCCTGGCCAACATGGTGAAACCCTGTCTCTACTAAAAATACAAAAAATTAGCCAGATGTGGTGGCGTGCACCTGTAATCCCAGCTCCTTGGGAGGCTGAGGCAGGAGAATTGCTTAACCGGGGAGGTGGAGGTTGCCGTGAGACGAGATCACACCACTGCACTCCAGCCTGGGCAACAAAAGCAAAACTCCGTCTCAAAAAAAAAAAAAAAAAGATTGTTACTATGCTAAAGAATATATCATCAAGATGAACCTTAAATTTTTATTGGATTTGGTCTAATATTTTCAAACAAAATGGCAGCTCATTTTTTAAAATTCAAAGGAAAATATCTTTCATAACTTGAATAAATCTCAAACCAATTTGGAAAATGGATAAGGATTACAGTGACATATGATTTCCCCGAGTAAGGTTTCAGTTCACAGACCAGCAATTAATGAATGATATTAATAATGCATTAGGACTGACAATAGAAATCATTTTATACCTCACATTGTAAAACTGAGTCAAAGGTAAATAAGTTATGTAATGTAGGAAATATCTGGGAATTAGTAATAAGACACTGATAATTCGGGGAGAGTTAAAGGTGTACCATAAAACAGTGTTTCTCAAAGTAGGGTTCCCATATCACTGCATTGGAATCACTCAAATACTGTAAAATGCAGATCATGTGTGCCACCACAGGGATTCTGCATCAACATCTGCCTTTTAAAATAAACCTCCCAGATGCTTCTTCTCACTATAATAAAGCACTTTGAAGAACTACTATTTATTTCGTTCCAGTAGCTGAAAGTATACTTTTTGGTTATTTAATAGAAAGCACTACTGTGAGTTGAATTGCGTCCCCCAAAAAGATATGTCGAAGTCCTAACTTCCACTACCTGCGAATGAGACCTTAATTGAGAATAGGGTCTTTGCAGATGTAACCAATAGGTCGCATAGGAATAGGATGAGCCTTGAATCCAATGACTGGCTTCCTAATAAGAAGGGAATTTGGACACGGAGACCCAGAGGAGGCACATACAGAGGAAGAACACCGTGTAAAGACAGAGGCAGAGATGGCAGTGATGCAGCCGTCGGTCAAAGGATGCCCAGGAGCCACCAGATGTTAGGAGAGAGCAGTGCACAGATCCTCCCTCTGAACCTCCAGAAAGAACCAACCTGGTCAATACCTTCAGACTCCGGGCATCCAGAAGTGTGAGAGAATACATTTCTGTTGTTTTAAGTCACCCCGTTGTGGGACTTTCCTGGCAGCCCCGGGAAACTACACGTGCGCAAAGCTAAGAACTGGAATCCCACGGGGAAATTCTTTCTCCATCCGTCACTCCCTGGTGCACTTTCTTCTCTGGCCCTCAGTGTTGGGAACTTTATCAGGAGGTTGCCTCCTGCACCTCGGGGTCCCTTGTGCTTCTCCCTCCTGTCTCTCTCGTAAGCCCATCCTCAGTCCTAGACTGTCTCGCCAGCTCCCCGTTCAATACTTCAAAGAGCAGCTGTCCAGGGTTGCAGCTGATTTTGCCTGACACTCTCCCAAAAGAGATTTGAGGGATTTCCTGATTCACTGGATGGCCAATGTCACCCTGAAGTATGAGGTTTTTCACAAATTAAACTGGAAAACATATCTGAAAATCTCATGCCCTGCCAGAACTGATTAAAAGTGAGAAAGGCAGAGAATAAAGTAACACAGAAGTGATCCTTGTCATTTTTGCCAGATTACATTTCCCCCATGTAGCAACGAGGTGTCTATCACTCCGGGATCATCCACTTCGAGGGCAGGCTGAGTGAAGGTCATTTTGGTTTTTATTGATTCTATGGCTCTGGCATTACTCATAAGGATTTACGGTATTTAACCCACCAGGAGAAGCCCTGAACTATAAATGACTCTCCTTTTGCCAGGAGAGCCTGCTGCATCATAAGTGACACCGGCTACATGGATTCCTTCACAGCCATCTCTAATGAAGCCCGCAGCCTTTGCCTCCGCACAAAAGCACACGGCCTCTCATTTCATGGGGCTGATCCCTCCTTTGGCTCTGAATCAGCACGAGGTTGTTTAGCTTACTAAGTAGGGTAATCCAGATACAGGGACAGAAAAAGAACTGAGTGCATAAGACTCATGCTGTTCCTTTCACGTCAGCATCCTCCAGGACCAAAACTGGGAATAAGAAAATGAAAGTCGAAGAGCATGAAATAGGGAAAATAGAAAATTAAGGCTAGGATTATTAAGGCTTATGAAGTGGTCTCGCATGTGTTACAAGGGGCTCAGGACACAACAGAGGCACAGGAAATATATTTGTTGAAGAATAAGGGAATGAATCAACTTTGAGAGCTTGTTTAAAACTTGTTATTGTTGTTAACTTTTTTTTTGAGGCAGGATCTTGCTCTGTGGCCCAGCCTGGAGTTCAGTGGTGCAATCACAGCTCACTGCAGCCTCAACTTCCCCAGGCTCAGGTGATCCTCCCACCTCAGCCTCCTGAGTACCTGGGACTACAGACGTGTGTCATCAGGCCCAGCTAATTTTTGTATTTTTTGTAGAGACCAGGTCTCACTATGTTGCCCAGGCTGGTGTCGAACTCCTGGGCTCAAGTGAGCCTCCCGCCTCAGCCTCCCAAAGTTTTGGGATTACAGGTGTGAGTCACTGTGCCTGGCCCATCATTATTATTTTAACTAAAAACTTTTCCTCCTCAGAAAAGAATTAAGGATGTTTTAAACACAGGGCTAATGTTTATTGACGGTGTTCTCACAACCAATAATTTGTGAACCCAGGACTAAAATGGGCTCAGAGGCAAAAAGAAAAAAATCAACAATATTGATCTTATCTTTATGGAAAATTTTGATATTTTATTTATCACATAAGCAAATGCCTCCCATGCCTCCTAGGCCCTGCCCTGTGTGAACCTTTAGAAATGTAAAGAATGTTTTGTTAAGGGGAGAATGTGAACATTCAGGTTTGAATTAACAATGAATTAGGAAGGAAAAGCCCCTTGGAACCAAGGAAGGAGTCTTCCACATGAGCTTGAAATGAAACAACAATCTCCACGAAGCAGTCTTAGTCTCACAGGAGGGATGATTTTCAATTCACAGACTTTTCTTTCCCCAGAATCTGGAAATTTGAGTTTGCCGCACTCATAAATGCTTTTTTGCACATATGTGCATGCAAAAGCATCCTGAAGCTTCATGACTGATAATTTTACTCTTCGTGACTGGTCATTGCCCCGAAATGAGTCAAGGACATGTCTGCAGAGAATATCAGAGCAACAGACCGAATCCCTTCCCAGGAGTATCTCCAGCCCCCGCTAACACCGAGCATTTATTGTTTGCACACTATTTTTAGTATTTGGACACTGACACTATCTGCAACTATTTAACCCTTTCTTTGTCGATATGCTTTGTCACTAATAGGCAACTCTGTCTCTATAAGGATAAAAATTACACTTGAAAAGATTCTACTAGTGGAAGCCCATGGTACTTATTCAATATATTCTGGATTAATCCATGAATTAACTGTAAATTCCTCTGCTTTGGCTTTTCTCTTTGTTGAATTAAAGTTGTTCCTGTTTTATCCTAAGCTCTCAGAACATTCCAAGAAATTTCCTTTTTTGGAAAAATATGGGCTCCTAGCAGTCAAGTGGGACTGGGATATGAAAATAAAATATTCTTAAATTACCACTACTATTATTACATTTATAAAACAAGTCTATTAACTGGTCTATATTTATAGAATCTCAAACGTTTGAAGCAGATAATAAAATTCACCCTGTTTCTCAATTTAAAATCTGCTAGCAAAAAGCACTTAGTCGAATTATTTCAAATTTGTCAGACTATAATGTCTCAGAAGACACCTGCAGGTCAATATTTTTCTGTCTTTCTTAACCTGACACCAAGTTTTATATATATATCTTGCCCTGTAATAGTATCTAATACAGGGCTGTGCTCCCTACTTTAAGAAAACTGAGATCCAAAAATCTGATTTTGGGGGGGAAAAGAAAAAGTCATACTTACTTTGCAAAAGAATTTAAATAGCAAGCTCCCTCTGAGTACTTAAAATATGATTCAATTTACCAAATCGTTACTAGTGCATGGCAGAGAATGTCCTGTTCATCTACTTTTATTTAGGGCTCCTCAGATCTAAGAACATGAACATGAAAGAACATGCCCATTGCAGAGTTACGATCCTTCTCTAAAAGGGGCATAGTGCCATCTACATGCTTAATGAAAAACACGTGGGTCTAAGTTTGCTAGAGGCTCAGGCAGACCCAGCTCTGGGAATCAAGAGGTACAGTGTAGGAAAGCTGTTCAGCTCTCTTGAGAACATCCACCTGTCAGGGCTGGCTCCTGGACATATGCGACAGGTTGTTGTTATTGTTGGTATCATTATTATTTTTGCTAAAGAGCACTGTAGCTTCCTAGGATTGCTACAACAAAGTACCACAAACGGAGTGGCTTAATACAAGAGAAATGTATTGTCTCAGTTCTGAAGCCTAGACGTCTGAAATTAAGGTAGCAGCAGAAGCATGCGCCCCCTGAAGGATCTAGGGGAGAGTCTATTTCAGGCCTTCTCTAAGCTTCTAGTGAAACTTCTAGAACTAGAAGCTTCTCTAAGCTTCTAGTGGATTTCCCAACAACCCTGGAAAATCCTTGGCTTGCAGCTGTAGCACTTGAGCCTCTGCCTTCCTCATCACATGGCATTTCCCTGCATGTCTGTGTCTGTGGTCTTGTCTTATAAGGACACCAGTCATATTGGGTTAAGATCCCACTTTATTCTGGTATGAGCCCATCTTAACTAATTACCTCTGCAAAGACGTTATTTCTCACCTTCCATACTGAGGTTCCTGGGATTAAGACTTCCAGGTAATGTTTTAGGAAACATAATTCAACCCATAACAGGCATTTATGAATTTGCAGACTGTTGAGGATGGGGGGAGTGTGAGTTCTTAATCTCATTACATGTTGAATGCTGCGCTATGTAAGATTCCTCTGATAGGAACCAGCATCTTGCTTCATGATGTTCCACTCATGTGGATGGATGTTCTGAAGTTTCACTTCTAACAAGAATCACTGGCCGGGCACGGTGGCTCACGCCTCTAATCCCACCACATTGGGAGGCCCAGGTGGGTGAATCACAAGGTCAGGAGTTTGAGACCAGCCTGGCCAACATGATAAAACCCGTCTCTACTAAAAATACAAAAAAAATAGCTGGGCGTAGTGGCGGGCACCTGTAATCCCAGGTATGCGGAAGGCTGAGGCAGGGAATTGCTTGAACCTGGGAGGCGGAGGTTGCAGTGAGCCGAGATCATGCTACTGCACTCCGGCCCGGGCAACAGAGCAAGACTCCTCTCAAAAAAAAAAAAAAAAAAATTCACTGCAATACCTATGTCACCCTTTGGCGTGGGAGGTAGGACACCATGGAGACAGGGGGAGGTCTTGATGGGAGAGTGAAGGAGGGATGAGACTAAGCATGAAAACAAAAATGAAGAGAGCTTACCTGGCAAGTAAGAAGTAAAGAGAGTGACACTTCCAGAGATGACTGTAAGCTTTGTCTCTCACTGCTCAACATCCTACACTTTCATCTAGTTCATTATTTTCCACAGCAGCCTTTCCACCCATAGCATAATACTAACAGGGGTGAACAGAAAGAAGCATCATGAGTATAATTTTCCTTTTTTCTTCTTCAATACCTAGTTTGTTTACATGTCATTTTGTTCGTTGGAGGTGAGCTCAAGGAACTGGGGGTGATGTTATATTTGAGCATTTCAGATGCACGATTCGAGAGTTCCTGAACACTGCTATCTGAACTGTAGTGTTGATCATGGTCTCTTGTTCTTCCCATATCCAGGATGGTTCTTCTGAACCACCCAGATCATGTTCTTCTCATACCCAAAATGGTCTTTTGGGAGTCCTGCTGATTTTTGATTGGAAATAAATTAAGTGACAAAGTCCAAAACCTCTGCAACTTCTTGTAGGAAAGATGATCAAAATGAAACAACTGTCCTGAAAGCTCCCCTAGTTTTCAAATATAACTTTTCAGGACTATGTGCTTTGATGGAGTATGATATACTTGACAGACAGATTTTTGGTCAGCATAATTTCCTTTCAGAAGTTACCCAGCCAAATATCATGACTAATAATTTCATACTAAAACAGAAATTGAATTTTTCTTTGAGATGAAAATGAATCCACTAGTATTTTTTAAATCACCTATAGACAGAAATTGATTTGACATAATGTAATATGATTTTTTAAAATAATTTAGGAATATGAATGAGGCCATTGGAAGTAAGGTCTTTCCTTTTGTTTTCCTTACTCACTATGATTTATTCAAAAGTGATGAAAAGGTACCTTGTTATCAAACATAAATGTAGAGATTTGGATGAGGACTTCTTTTAAATAAAGCTACACAAAAAACTGCAGTGGAAATATACTCCACATTTAATCAAGCTACTTCCTTGCATAACAACCATGTTTGGGATAGTTTGGGTGAAACCTGAAGAGGCCCGTTAAATGGTTCAGTTGTTCACCAAAGCGGGTGGGTACCCGATGTGCGAGAGGCAGATGTTACGAAAAGCATGCGGACAGCATCTATCTCCCGTCACTGCCCAGGTTGATCAGGTTCTATGCAGCCGTTCATCTGATTCCAGTCATTGCCAAGTGCCATGAAGGACATTACTGCATCATAAAATATAGCCTGGAGTTAGACATCGTCCTAATTTCTAACTTCCCCTGCCCGACTGGTTGGTTGAATGGGTTTCTTTTAGCCTATAAGGGCCTTAGGATTCTCCTACACTTCTACCAAAATGAGCTTTCTAAAAGAGTATATGGTACAATATCCTCTTATGGAACATATACTCTTATGGAGTAATGTCACAGTATATGGCATTGACCTTTTGCCATTCACCTGTCCCCACTACCTTCCCCTGCATAACATACTTTGTGACACAAGTATTTCACTACAACTAATGTGATCTTCTAGACCAGCACTTCTCCAAAGTCAGAGTTTTTGCAAATCACCTGAAGATCTTGTTCAAATGTAGGTGCTAGTTCAGGAGGCCTGAGGTGAGGACCGAGATTTTGCCTTTCTGACAAACTCCCAGATAAGGCCAATGCTGCTAGTTTCCTCGAGTGGGAAGGATCTAGGAAACTCCCCTATGTATTCCTGTTCCTATATCTTTGTTCACATTCTTCCTTCAACCTGGAATTTCTTCCCTTTCTTCCTAGATTTTCATATTCATCCTTAGAAACCCTGCCTTAGTAGCTACTCCTTGAAGTGGTCTAGGATGGGGCTTTCTGTATCACAAATGCTTCCTCCTCTGAACTCCTATAGCACACAGTGGCTGGACCACCCTCTGACACTGCTAATTTTATCTTTAGCTACTTTCTCATGCATACATCTTGAATCCCTGATTAAATGTTTAGCCCCTTGAGGACAATCTCATCATGTTCACTCCTGGCCTTTCCCTTAAATCTCAGATTTGCAATTCCAACCACCTGCTGCCTTATTAGAATCCAAATTCAACAGAGCAAAAACGAAACACCCTATCTTCCTCCTCAGAAAACTTGTTCAGTCTCAGGTACTCCCTTCTCAGAGAGTTGCATTTATTTATTTTACAAATACCTGTTTGTTTTAACAAATACATGTGCCTACGATGGACCAGGCACATAGTGATGAATGGAGCAGACGTGTTTTCATGATGCTTGTCTGAAACCTGTGGAACCTCGAAAAGCCCCAGTCACCTACAACTTAAAAGCTGTGCACTTCTGGAGGCTCAACCACCCAAGGTAGAAACTGCAGGGTCATCACCAATTTCACCTTCTAACTTACCTTCCACAACCATCTGTTGTGTTATAAATTTCTATCTGTGCCGCCACAGAAATGCCTCTCCTACATGAGCACTCCCTTCTTTCCCATTTCTCTTGCCACTGTCCTAGAAATGTGGCCATCCTCTCTGGTTCCAGTGATGGCACTTGTCTCCCTACTCCCTACTCATCCCTTTTGGTTTCAGCTTCTTCATCTCCAACTTTTTTTGACACCAACCCTGAAGTTATCATTCTCCAGAAACATCCATCTCATCACAGCACTTATGGACTTACAAAGATAGATGGATCCACATTGCCTGTGGAATTAAACCCCACCTTCATAGCATCAAGTTCAATGTCTCTATAATCTATCCTCCACTGACTTTTCCAGCTTCCCATCCTCACACACTATCCCCTATTTCTACTGTGTCTGAGCAAACATGTGCTAGTCTCCAAATGGCCCTGCTCTTTGAAGGCTGCTTGCCTTTGGTCAACCTAGAAGTCCTCTCCTAATTCTCCAACTGTCAAAATGCAACAGTTCCTTAAGGTTCAACTCAAAAGCCACCTCATCCAAGAAAGCTTCCTCTGCCATAAGTAACCACTTCCATGGCATTTCCTTTGTAACTGTGTCACATGCCCTTTGCCACACAGTCTCGGGTGATTCTTAACTATGTATCTATCTGTCTTTACCTCCACTAGGTGTTAAGACTATGTTTATCTAACCCAGTCGGTGACGAACAAAATTTCCCGAAATCCAAGGGAAGATGTTCCCAACAATTCGAGTTTGTTGACTGGGATGATGGAATTGTACTTCTTTGATTCCTCAATGCTGAGCACAAAATCCTACTCTCGGAAGATGTGCAAAGAAAAAATATATATATATACATATATATATATCTTTTGTGTGTGTGTGTGTGTTTATGTGTGCAGTGTGTGTGTAAACCTTTCATCTTTGGTATCTTTGAAATAGGCTCTCTCCAACTTCATACAGCCTGATGATTGCATCCCATCGTGCCCCTGTCAGTGGAAGTCCTTCCTGTCAGAGCCAATTGCCAAGGCAGAGTTTTTCAATCTTGGTCACATATTAGAATCACTTGGAGAGTTTCGAAAAATCTCAGTGCTCAGTCTGCACCCCAGGTGGACTAACTTCATCAGAGTCTCTGTGGTCCAGACTTAGGCATCAGTATGTTTAAAGCTGCTCAGATGATTCCAATATGCACCCAAGGGTCAAAACTACTGTGCTGGAGAATATTTCAATTTCAGACTTAGTCATAGGAATATACAAAGCAGCAGCCACAGCATATAGGACAATTTTAAGGGACTCATCTGACCCCAGACATCTCTCTTGGTTGCCCATTGTGGTACCCACAATGAGAAAACAGAATTCTCTTTTGAGTATAGTATTATCTCCAGAAGGCATTGTTAAATACATACATAAATACATGAGATATGAATATATATAATATGATACTCATAATATGTGTGTATGTATCATATTATATATGCAAATATGTTCCCTGGAAAGAGTAATCTATCCATCTTCCAGCTGTGTGCAGAATGAAAAGCAAATTCCCTTTTGTGAAAGATGAGGCCCTGGAAAGGAAGGTCTGGGGCACACAGATGGCATTAGGGCATCCTCCCAGTCAGTTCTGAGAAGCTAGAGAGCACAGTGGGAATATCTGATATCTCAGTAGAACATGAGGGGGTGAGAGGGAAAGAGAGGCACAGTAAAGGAAATTGGCATTGGGAGAGGACTTCCACCAACAAACTTGGCTTTCTCAGGTTGGCCAGGGATGACGCTGCCCTGAATCTCTGAAGTTTATAGACTTTGATTTTCAAAAATTAATTACTGGGTAGGGGAAGGGGAAGATTTTAGATGAGTGGGTAAGAAAATACCCAGGACCTGGGGGAATAAAGTCTCAGCTATACTAAACTTCCTGAGCCTTGAAAGCAATACTGAAAAGATTCCTAAATAAAAAGGTTAGCAGCATCCAGTCAAAGCCAAAAGAAACTGAGGAGAAGGAACCTCGTAAAAATAAAAAGTCATGAGGAAAAGTGTATATCGGTGGCAATTTTTCCCCAAGCTTACAAAAAACACCACCTGGGGACAGAGAACCACGGTGATCCCTCTACACTCTCCTGCCTAATGAGAATTTCTGAAAGCAAAGTATGCCTAGAGTGAGTCCCCATGAGGTAGTAATTTATAAAGCTGCCCCTACACCATGCTGATTCTGAAAGAGACTGGTTTTCTAGTGTACCAGAGCCTTTTGTGGAAAAACAAAGCAATAGGAAAGAACTTGAATAACGGAGGCCTCCACAGAGATGAGATGACACATCGGGGTCTGTGATTGCACCTCAGATTCACTCAACCACAATCTTCTCTGAGAAGCCTACTTCCTTATTCTCATAAACTAAGCTGAGCAGTAATCATCCTTTGCCTTGATGGGAAGATCTGCTAATTACCCACAGCTCTGGAGAAATGCAAATCTGTGGCTATGTCATGGATCTGATCTGCCTTCTATGACCTTAACCCCCCACCCTAACTCCTTCTGTCTCGGATTTAAACAAATTAACTAGACATGAAACAGAAAGAGGCTGTTACTTAAGGGAATTGGATCCTCGGAGCATATACTCCTGAATTTCCCTTATGGGTTTGAGTCAGCAGTGATGTCTCAGAGACATTCCAGATGACTTCAAGGAGGCAAGGGCAGACTGGTAATTAAACCACACCAATCAGGAAGGCTTAGAAATAGAGAACAAAGGGCAAGGAGAGGAGAGAGAAGAAGGCAAAAAAAAAAAAAAAAAAAAGAAAAAGAAAAAAAATAAAAGAAAATAGAACGAAGAAGCAGGAAACCAGAGTCCTGGAAATGCTTTTTCACATGTTCTACCCACTCCTCTCTCTGTCTGTGTTAACGAAGCTCCTGGAAAGAGATGTGTGCTCGCCTCTGTATAAAGCAGTGAGGCACAGAAAGAATGGTGTGAGCTGAGGCCAACCAGGTCTTAGGTCTGCGTGAGCCTGGTGGAGCAACTCAAGTCAGTGCAGGAAGAAGGCAGTGTGGGAACAGGGCTGGTGAGAGTGGGACTGGGCTCTCTTCCAGGATCCCAGGCTCACCCCACCTTAACCCCAAATGCTACAACCTCATGGGGCTGCATGTCTTCTCTGTGCCCCTGCTAGTCCACTCTCCTCTCTTCTCCAGCCTGCCCATTGCTGGAGGGCTGAGGATATGAATTACATCCCTGGGCCCCCATGTCTGCTGACTCCAGTTAACCTTGGCCATTGGGAGGCACTGTAGGAGCTCCTAGAGGAGAGTGAGGCCCCAACATTCATTCTCGGGGCTTCCTCACTGTGAGGTTGCTTCAGACTAGCTGAGCACCTCAACGGAAGGTCACAATTCCCCTCTGCTGGCTAGTCCAGAGCTCTTTCCCTCCCCCATACTTCAGTCCTTCAGGCCTTAGGGTGGTAACTTTGCTCCATGTTACTCACCTCAGGTTCTGCCCTATTCCTTATGGCTTTTCTACACTCTGCTGTCACCTGTATATCAAGTACCTTATTGAACTATCCTTAATTATTGCCCAAGTTGACTTGTGCTGTCAGTTTCATTCTAAGACCCAACTGATCTAGCCCACTAACTCAAGATAGACCAGAATTATGTCTTTATTCTTCCATGGTGGGGCAACCTTCAAGGTGGCTTAGCTACTGGGGCATTCACCTGTATGTAAAAATGTCTACAGAGAAGTGGCTACTGGTGGAATCTGCTTAGTATCTGGAGAACTGTATGTCCTTTAGCTAAGGAAAACACAAGTGCTTTTCTCTTGGTCTAAAGTCACTTTACAGCTCATGCAGAGGTGGTCTCTGCAGTGCACCAAGAGATATAACTGACAGTAACGTGTGTCAGGGAGGGATTCCCTTCCTTCCTCAGTGCTAAGGAGAGAAAAAGAAGTAGATACGACTTACAAGGAAGGGAGGGAGACATGAGTTTGCCCCTGTGGGTCACCTTCCATCACAGAGCGCGACTTTCTTCTGCTGAACCACCCAGCAATGGGAACACACTGTGCATGGCATCGAAGTTCAAGACCACCGACAAGCAAAAATGAGTGCGGCTTTGCATTTACTGCCTGGAAACCCATTTCATCATTTAATCCAAAACCTAATTTTTTTAGAATTCAATGTTTAAACAAATCATGAGTGTTTGATGTGACATGAGATTGCTTTATCCTCTCTCCTCCCCAGTTCCTCATGAAAATGAGATGCTGCACCTCATTTGGGGATTTGGGAGAGAAAATAAAACAAAACAATCTGGATCTAGGTCAGCAGAAAGCCTGTTTGTTCAGCGTAAAGAGGCCTCTCCACTAATTAACACTTTCCTGAGAAAAAAGAGTGAAAGTCGTGTGCGAGGAGCATATATATATATATACACACACACACACATTCCTCTTTAAATGGCACCATTTCAGATTCAGTAAAATAGCACTTACCCCTTCAAATTGGAATAGTGATCACACATACTGAAAATTAAAATTCTGGAAAGCTTCAATGCTGAAAATTTCATCCAGTCACCTGACAGAGCTAATTAAATTTCTTGGGCTGTTGATTAGTATTTATTAAATTACGGAACTAAAGCTTTAACTCTGCCATTCTTGCTTCAATAATTAAGAAGTTGTGGAGAGAGAGCAATAACCAAGGTGTCAGCTTGCTGACTCTTCCAAAAAGTGGTACTCAGAACTTTATCCAACTCATGCCACGAATCCAGTGATACTGAAGAAAAAAAAATGCAAATCTAGAGTAGCATAAAATATGCTTTCTTTCCTTTTTAATTGTGCAAACACTGTGGTCATATAATAACATGCACAATGAATTTGCACCCATGGCTACATGTGCTTGATAAAGACAACATCATGGTTCTTTGCAACAATGAACATTTCCTCTTACAGATGCTTAGCTTCGGAGGCATCTTGTACAGAATAACATATTCTGTTCTTTTCCCACATGCTCATCTAGTCAAACTTCTGCTCTCCAAGGAATGAATAAGTTCTGATGGACTCCACATCAGTCTTTATGTAAGATTTTTTCTGAAAATTATGGGGCTCTCTCCATAATCCAGCAGTCAACTGAAAGAATATCTATTGAGTGTCTACCATGTGTTCAACACTCAGCTCACTGTCAAAAAAGATACAAAAAAAAAAACAAGATACCATTCTTTCCCAGGGGCATCAAGATGTTTTATAGAGATAATCTATATCCAAATGAAACAAGAAACAAACCAAATGCATGAGATACTGATAAAATAAAGTGCTTATTTGTGTGATAGGATGATCAAAATAAATTTCACTTTCAGGAGTGCCTTCCAGCTCCAACACTTTCCAATGCTATGTGTAGCACAAAAAATAGCCGAAGAATTCAACTAAAGGTTCTGGAAGGTGTGTTCTCATCATGAGCATGCCCTCAGCACAGTCCCTGCTATTCGGTAAGCTCTAGGCAAATGCTGAATGAATCGATATGCAAATGAGTGCAAAATGAAAAGAATGCAGACAGCAAGATGAATTGGCATTATCTGAGAAGGCTTCAGACCTGAGACTGCTCTTAAACCAAGCTGCAAGGCAGAGCTTACAAATTGTCAGCCATCAGTGTTAATCTATCTATACAGATGTGTTTCATTCAGCCCATGCTGTGATGATGATGGTGGTGGGGATGACGGTGATGATGATCATGATGAAGACAAGGATGGAAGTGGAGAGAGAATTTTAAAACCAGGAGATTCCATGTTCAAATCCATATATTTCTATTGTAAAACAAACTCTACCTCTCCTGGCTCCTGTGTCCATGTGGCATGATGCCAAGGCCAGTGGCTCTTCTTTTTTTTTTTTTGAGACAGAGTCTCACTCTTGTTGCCCAGGCTGGAGTCCAGTGGTATGTTCTCAACTCACTCCAACCTCTGCCTCCCAGATTGAAGCTATTCTCCTGCCTCAGCCCCCCAAGTAGCTGGGATTACAGGCACCCACCACCACACCTGGCTAATTTTTGTATTTTTAGTAGAGACAGGGTTTCACCATTTGGTCAGGCTGGTCTCAAACTCCTGACCTCAAATGATCCTCCCGCGTCGGCCTCCCAAAGTGCTGGGATTACAGGGGTGAGCCACGGCGCCCGGCCGTGGCTCTTCTCTTTCTTCGGCCATCGTCCTCCAGGGTTGCACCATGTTCCACCCTCTCAGTCTTCTTCCCAACCAAGGCCAAGTGTCAGTTACCTTTTATTTTCATGCATGCACTATTGCTTTCTTCTGGAAGAGAAAATAATCCCCATACACATCGTACTGAAAGTGTAAAAATGCAAAAGTAGTCCATGAGGGAGTCATGTTTCAAGGGAAAAGTGTGAGACTATCTCTTGTGAAAATGAATGAGGAAATGAAATGATGAAATTGTATGCTATTAATATCAATCTAAATGTGTCTATGAAAAGAACAGAAATTGCTTCCCTACATTATCAGTTGCTACCTTCTCAGTGAGGCCTTCCATGAGCATCCACCTCCACACATGCTTCCAGTCCCCCCCTCCACTTTAGTTTTCACTTTAGCACATGCCATGTATATTTTTATTGTATAATTCTTTTTTTAACTTAATTTTAAGTTCTGGGATACATGCGCAGGACATGCAGGTTTGTTACATAGGTAAACGTGTGCCATAGTGGTTTGCTGCACCTATGAACCCATCACCTAGGTATTAAACCCCGCATGCATTAGCTATTTATCCTGATGCTCTCCCTCCCCCTGCCCCCACAACAGGCCCCAGTGTGTATTGTTCCCCTCCATGTGTCCATGTATTTTTATTGTTCAGCTCCCACTTATAAGTGAGAAAATGCTGTTTGGTTTTCTGTTCCTGTGTTAGCTCCATCCATGTCCCTGCAAAGGACATGTCCCTGCAGCTCCATCCATGTCCCTGCAAAGGACATGATCTTGTTCCTTTGTCTGGCTGCATAGTATTCCATGCTGTACATGTACCATATTTTCTTTATCCAGTCTATCCTTGATGGGCATTTAGGTTGATTCCATGTCTTTGCTATTGTAAATAGTGCTGTAATGAACATACGCGTGCATGTGTCTTTATAACCGGATGATTTATATTCCTTTGGGTGTATACCCAGTAATGGGATTGCTGAGTCAAATGGCATTTCTGGTTCTAGGTCTTTGAGGAATCACCACACTCTCTTCCACAATGCTATATATTTTACTGGTTTATTTCATTTGTTGTTGGAATCTTGTAATGCAAATGTAGGCTCCATAAAGGAAGGGGTTTTTGCCCTCTTTTGTTCACTACTTCATCCCTGGTACCTAGGAGAGTACCTGAAAAAGAGTAGATGTTTGATGAATGAACAAACAAACTCAGCTCGCTTCTCTAATTTACTTTATCTGCATGATCTGCCTGAAAGGATGAAGCAGCTGTGGATAGGCTAAGAGAAGAGCCATCACTCCTGGTGAAGGAAGTTACTTCTGGCAAGTAACATAAGCAAAGGCTTGAGCTGGCAGGGAGCACGTGGAAAGGGAAATAGGGCTCTGTGAGAAGTAGAGCCTAATTAAAATGAAAAATGTAGCTGGGCATGGTGGCATGCATCTGTAATCCAAGCTACTTGGAAGGTTGAGGCGGGAGGGTTGTTTGAGCCCGGGAGTTCAAAGCTGCAGTGAGCTAGGATTGCACCACTGGACTCTGGCCTGAACAACAGAGTGAGACCCTGTCTCAAAAAAAGAAAAGGTAAAAATGAAATAATGCATTTAAAATGGAAAATGTGTCATGGAGTTGCCAGTTAAGAATCCATGATTGATAGATGTGAACAAGACACCACTCGTCTGTCCCCTGTCATCAATCTGGACCATTGCCCACCCCACCTGGCTTTCCCAGCGCCATACCTGTGTATCCTTCTGGACCCCACCTGGGCTGTTCTAGCACCCTTCAATGATTCTCCAGAAAAAATACTAAACTGCTCACAGTAGACTATAAAACCCTGTAGGATCTCCTGGCCCACTTCTCTGGCCCCAACTCCTGCCTCTCCAACATATGCACTTTGCCTTTCAGTTGCACCAAACTAACTACTTTCCAAACCCTTAGTGGGTTTGGTCCACATGAGCCTTTCAACATGGGCTCCATCTGATTGGGAGCCCCAACACCAGCTCACTCTTCAAGATCAGCTCAGAGAGACAGAGAGACCCCTGTGGGAGCTTCTCCCTAGAGCCCCTACTTGGCAGACCCAGGACCCCTACTCTGTACCTCTGGACCATCTGATGCTCCGCGGGTAATACTTATCCATCAGAAGCTGCATGCATCGCCTGTAAGATACAGCGTGAACACACAATTCTGCGGCACTCTTGGCCAACTGATGGTACCCAGGCCTTGAGAATGCCTCCCTCGCTCCTTGAACCCTCCCTAGAAATTGATTGGTTTTCTCATTAAGTGGTCACAGCCCTAAGGTACCACCACCATGTGTCTATTTTCACTGGTCCTGAGTTAACCTGTTATGCCCTATCCCCTTTACTGTGGTGTAAGTGCCCTTACCTTTTCCCATTTGATCTCAGTTTAATTAACTTTGGGTCACTGGTTTCTGCTCTTGAAAATACATACTCTACACTCAGCTTTCATTCTTCTCAACTCAGTTCTTGTCAATGTTGACATCACGTTGTACTACTGTCTGTTTTTATGTCTATACCTCCACAGAAGAGAAAGCTCCTTGAAAGTAGAACCGATGTCTTTTCATCTTTGTAGCCCCAATGCCTAATGCGGTATCTTGCACAGAGAAAACCCTTAATGAATGTTTGTTGACTGAATGCATGAACACATGCAGCGATACAGCCATTGCCATTGGTCTTTAAGAGAAAGGACCATGGCACTTTGGGAAGCCGAGGAGGGTGAATTACCTGACATCAGGAGTTCGAGACCAGCCTGACCAGTATGGTGAAACCCCATCTCTACTAAAAATACAAAAATTAGCCTGGTGTGGTGGCATGCACCTGTAGTTCCAGCTACTCAGGAGGCTGAGACAGGAGAATCACTTGAACCCGGAAGCAGAGGTTGCAGTGAGCTGAGATAGTGCCACCGCACTCCAGCCTAGGCGACAGAGCAAGACTCCGTCAAAAAAAAAAAAAAAGAAAAAGGAAAAAAAGAAAAAGGACCATGAATTAAGTTATGGCAGCAGTACTACATATTCAAAAAACTAAGTAAAGAAAATAAAGACAGATTTTTTTTAATTACTGCAATCAGATTCATTGGTCATGAGAACCTGACCTATAGGCTTAGAAGAAGTGAAAAGATGGATATAAAAAGCTAGACTAAATCTGAAAATTAAAAGACCTTTCAGAGAAAGAAAACAAAGTTGAAGTCACAGGGTTGAGCTTGCCCTGGAGAGATCACACTGTCTACTCTTTAACCCCATGGGTCTGAGTTTTCAGATTTCCCGTGTATCAGGATGAGTTGGGGATACAAGTTAAGAGTGCGAATCTCCAGACTGCAGGTCTAGTACCTGTGTCTGTACTGAGAGCACATTGTGTGAACACCTTGGCATGGTGACCCCAGGACCACCTATGCCTTAACCATTTTTGATCAGGGAAAAGCTCTTTTCCTTGTAAAGATGACTACAGAGTTTCCATGATTTTCTAGGATACTCAGCATGTTTTTCCTGAAATCCTCTTTTTCATCATGTTTTAGGAAAGCCTGTTCTAATGGCTTTGTTTTCAGAAAAAAACTGTTTTTAAAATGTCAAGCGAAAGAGATTTCTAAGTGTCTCTTCTTGTTGTGGAGTCACCTTTTTGGACCAAAAAAAGTAAAATCAAGTTCTGGACAAAAGTTCTAGCTCCTCTGAAGTTTGTCCTTTCCTCTCGACCATATAAATAATGGAGAAGGGGAACTTACTGGTATATCTCATTTAGGCACTTGGATAAATAACACCCCACTTTCAGTTATCTTTGGAAAAAACATTGAGAAACCCTCTTACCTTTTTGAGGACAAAAGAAGCAAATTGAAAATGCACTAGGCCTTTTTTAAATATTTGTGATTTGGCTTGAAAAAGAAGGTCGGTTTTCCACATAGGAAATAATTTGAAGAAATAAAATGAAAACTATTTTCAAAAGACTGTTTAACTTTCCTTTAATTATACTAAAAAGAATAATAAAGAGCATGAAGCATATTGGAATTTGTCATTTATGGATCACCATGGCATAGTATAAAAATTCAGAAGTAGCTTCTAATGAGAAAAATACAAAAAATAATATCAGTGAATTTTATATTTATTAATCTAGGGGAAAAATTGAGAGGTTAGGGTTCCATTCTGTTCAGAAAGACTCACAGTGTAACCTCACATGCCAGCATGATCATTATACTATGACTTTCCAGTGCATCAGGAATAAAACATAAGGCTCGTCAAAGAAGTAATAGAAAAGCAACCTAATATTGAGGCTAACTTGACACAAATCATTCTAATTATTTACATTCAGAGCTCCTTTTGCTGAGACCTTTTTTTTTTTGAAGAGATAAAGGCTATTTTCTAAATACCACTGCTTAGCTACCAAATCTATTAACAGAAAGCCCCTGGCGTTTGATCTTTCAGATTCCAGTGTGCTTCCAGTACTGTTTTTATACTTATCTGCAATAAAAAGGTGATTCCTCCAAGCGCTTTGGATTTGGTTGAATCAGATTTACTGTCTGGCTTCTCAACCTTATTCCCAAGTACAATGTAATAGGAAAATGCAAAGCCCTTTCAAGTCCCCATGGGTTCCTATGGCAGGGTGGTGAAAATTTTGTTTTCTTTACTACTTTTCATTTCATAAGAGAAATAGTCTCAAGGAGAGGATTTCTAATGCAATGTTGTTAGATACAGACCATTAAATATGTAGGGCTGGCTTTCCAGCCTACATATGCAGCCCTATGGGAAAACTCTCCCTTTGTCATGGAAACCCAGGGGAGGAGTTGGTCTGTGCTGTTTTATGAATAAAAAATCCAGAAGGGGAACTCTTTTTCCATTTTAAAGCCAGGAGGAGTTTTTAGGACTTTCATTTTTTCACACTTGCCTGTTAGAGAAATGGCATAAGTTTTATGGTATTGTGCATCTAGAATGTTCTTAGCACCACCTGAAAATTATTATTTCCGCTGATAGTTAAGACAGATGATAGATGACTGATCGATGATAGATGATTGATTGATTGATTGATTCAGGGACAGTATAATCCACTGTTATACATAACCAGAAGCATAATTGGGCAAATAGCATTTGATTCATCTGTCTTTGGACCTCCTAAAGGAAGATGGGCTGATTTAAAATGTTATCTTGAAAAATGTATAGTCTTGTATTTGTTTGGAGGGTTCTAGACATAGGCATTGTTAGAAATGGTTTAGAAAATTAGGAAAGGCTACTCAAACCATAGTGGCGTTAAAAAAAAGGCCAAGAATTAGGAAATTGTTTGTAGGGCTGCTAGAATCACAATGATGTTGGAGAAGGTCTAGAACATTAGCATGGACTGATAATTCAGGGAAGAGTACCAAGATTTCCAGAGTGCTATCCTCCTCCCCCCAAATATATTTTCCATCTTTTTTGAAATGAGTGAGACCTACCAATAGGCACAGGGCTTTTCAAATGCATTCACACTCTCCAGTTCACCAGTTCTGTTGTAATGGTTAATTTGAGACTGCAGGCTCTGGGCCCCCACTGCCAAGGCTCAAAACCAGGCCCTACTACTTGTGCTATGTGATCAAGGCCAAGAGACTTCACTCTTCACTGCCTCAGTGTGTTCACTGTTCTTGTGAGGTTGTGGTGATTAAACAATAAGATAGGAGTGATGGGTGTAGCATGGGGCCAGCCACTTAGTGAGGATTTGATGACATCTCACTAAACAAAAAGGTCACCATAGAAATGCAATTCTCAGTTATTGCATCTGTAAAGTTGAGACATCAACAGCTACCTTTCAACATTTTTTACAAATTGGAGGCAATTATGGATTTGGTTGCTGAGTGTCCAATAGGTATGGTAGCCATCACTGTTGTTATCATAATTTTTATCAACACCTGTCTCACTCCTTGTTGTACAGGTCAAGAAAACCCAACTAGATCATAGCTTCTTGAAGACAAGCAGGCTTCATGGGATACTACCTGCATAGTTGCACAAGGCCCAGTGTTTAGAAGTACCTGACACTCTGTAGTTGCCACGTTCAAATTCCTAATAATATTTAAACAGGGAACCCTGCATTTTCATTTTGCACTGGGCTCTACAAATTACGTAGCTGATCCTGAGGACAGGGACTGTTTCTAACTTGGTTTTATAAACTTTGTCTTCCAGGCACAGTTCTTTATACACAGTAGGTTTGCATTAGATGTTTCTTGAAGTGAATGGGCATTGCCACTAATTAATAATAACTGAACATGAAAATCATTTATTCAATGCCCACTTTCGGAAATCCAGGCTCCTCCTGAGCTTATAAAGTCCTTTTGTGGACAGGCCTTTGGCCAATAACAAGAATCAATGGTGACAATAATCGTTCCAAGTAAATCTTGTAAATGTAGAAATGGATTGAGTATTTGCAGGATGTACTTCATAAATTCAGACAGGAAGGTTGGTTAAATGTTTAAAATTGTTGTTTGGAACAGATTAAAGGGTGCAAAAAATGTTAGCAAAATCACTTGGGAAAGGTGGTTTCTAATGTTTTTAATATTGGCACAGTTAGTAACTGACTTTAAATCCTTCCTTGATCAACATAAAAAGACATTTCAAGGGAAAGGAAATAAATGGTAATGCCATTAACCATCACACATTGTAGAAGTACCTATTATAAAAAATCCTTTCTAAGTTTTACTGTTCTGGATCTAAGCTTATTTCATAGAAATACAGAATTAAATACTACACTTGATTTCATTTTGGAATATTAATGAGACTGAAATAAGCTTTAAATTTTTCTTTGACTCATTAAGCTGGAAAGTCAAAGTGCTAAAAATACATACTTTTGCTTCAACATAGGCTGAAATGGATACAAAGAATTTTGTGTCAGGGGGAGTTTAACTTAGAGTAAAAGGACCTATCGGGGGAAATTTGAAGCAATTGTAATGTAGAATTTGGCTATTATACATAAACATATGTCTATATTCATCATGTAGCTTTACTTGTCAGAAAATATCTATCTTAAAACTTGTACAGTCAGAAAAAGTATCAATAACATAAAATTTCACAGCCCCCTTTTAGAACTATGGCCTTAACATTTTGTAGGGAAATAAAGCTTTGGTTAACCTTGGCTCTGGTAGACCTCATTAAAATAACAGCCTGTCAGTTTCAAGTTTAAAATAACAGGGTTGTCAGTTTTATATGCAGTGGAACAATCTACAGTTTTATTCTCGGGGATAAGACTGGTAAGGGGGTGAAAGGTGGACAAAGACTGGACAACACTGCCATCTGGTGGTTATAATGAAGGTGGCCTCTAAATGCCTGGAGACGAGGCTGGACCATCTTGAAGGAAAAGAGGGTGACGTCAGCCTGCTTTAAGCAAGTCACTGTTCGACTTTTTGATAGCCTTTTGCCTTTAAAATGTAGGTACATGCCCAGAGCCTAGATGCAATTTATAATCTCAAAGTTACAGTAAATCAATAATAAACTCTGCTCTTTGGTAATCTTTAATCCCTGCATATCCATGATTTGAGAAAATTAATTTTCAAGAGAATGAAATCTTGTGAAAAGAATTAGATTCAACAAAAACTTTATTTTACTTTAAGTTCTGGGATACATGTGCAGAACGTGCAGGTTTGGTACATAGGTATACATGTGCCATGGTGGTTTGCTGCACCTATCAGCCCATCATCTACGTTTTAAGCCCCACATGCATTACGTATTTGTCCTAATGCTCTCCTTCCCCTTGCCCCCACCCCCCGACAGGCCCTGGTGTGTGATGTTGCCCTTCCCGTGTCCATGTGTTCTCGTTAGATTCAACGAAAACTTTAAAAAATATTTTCCTTTATTAAAACCACCACATATCTGGTGTTTTATTGCATGAGTATCTTGTGAGAAATTCATCAAACTGATGATATATGATTTGTTTACTTTTCTGGATGATTATTAAACTTCAGTAAAAATAAATAAATGCAAACCAAAAAAAGCTGTTCATAGGCAAAATTTTGATGGCTGTCACAAAGCTGGATGGAACATGTTCCCATTTATATAAACTGAAGCAATTCTAGACATAGGCTGGATTCAAACAGACTTCTACTGTAACCTAACTTCGATTCAGTTCTTTCCTGCTGTACTTCGGACAGTTGACTGGGGGTATGGAGCAGGGGCAGGAGAGTGAGGTCAGAGAAAAATGAGTTCTGTTGATTTGAAATGCAACCTACTCAAAAAGTTCAGAAGAAGATACTGAACTCTCTAATGTTGAGCTAATAGCCCACCTTTAGTTCATTCAGACAACAACCCCTAGCCTAGGAACCATGCTCAACCCCTCTCAGTAGCAACTGGCCCCCTCTCCTGACGTGCTTAGGAAGGACCTTAGACCATGCCCTCAATATGGTAGCCACCAGCCATACATGGCTATTGACCACTAGGGATGTGCTGTAGACAGAACTGAGATGAGCTCTAAGCGAAAAACCCACAACAGATTTTGAAACCTGTGCCATCTAACATGGCAGCCATTAACAATGTGTGACTATTGAGCAATGGAGATGTCCGGTGGAATGAACTGAGATGGACTGTAAGTATAAAATACAAACTAGGCTTTAAAGACTTAGTACCAGAAAATAATAAAGAATATACAATATCTCATTTAAATGTTTCGTGTTCACTATGTATTGAAACAATGTTTTGAATAAGTTGTGTTAAACAAAACATAACATTGAAGTTAGCTTCAACTTACTTTTTTTAAAATGTGGCAACTAGAAAATTTAAAATTACACCTGTAGCTCCTTTGTGGCTTACATGATGTTTCTACTGGATATTGCTGCCTTCAGGCTCTCATTGCTTCTTCGAACAGGATGGCCATTTTGCTATTTTACAAGTTGTTTTCTCTCTCACTGGAGCTAAAGTGGGCTGCCTATGACACTTCTGCAGCTTGTAGGAGACTAAGAGGACCCATTTAGGTTATTGGATGCTTATGATGCAAAGGTGAAAGTCAAGCAAAATTATGTCACCTGGGTCTAATCATAAGCAGAGTAAATCGTACTCCCTGGTTGGTGCCCCATGGGGTAAATTGGATCTTTAAGGTAACCAGATGGCTCTCAGGAACAGGTAATTTACCTCACCGGGGTAAGAACTTGATTTGCAAGAAAGAATACAGTTTAGTCCCCCAATGCCATATGTCCCCATGGTGACATTTGTACTCATTAAGTACTTCCAGTTCCAAGTGCCCTAGCAATGTATGAACTTTCTTTCTCCCTTATTGTAAAATATTGATTTTACTTCTCACACCCTACAACCCTTAAATGTGTGAGCCATTTTTAATGCTCGTTTATGTGTATATATCATCTTTCCTCCACTGGGTGGTTAATTGAAGGCAGGACCACGTCCCTTAAATCACTGTATGCCCAGGACCTTAAAAAGGCCCAGTACATTGTAGATACGAATCAAGTGTGTGTGCCTGCCTGTGTGCAGCTGTGTGTGGGGGTGGGGGTGTTTAGTTGGAGTGACTATCCATAAACAGACCCTAAGCAACCAATTATCTATAATATAGGGAAGCTTACAAGGAAGATGCCCCTCCCTATGGCAGTAAACTTATTTTGCAAATAAGGGCATGTCGAATTTACATGTCATTTACAATTTCATTTGAAGACCCAGAATTTGAACTTGCCCTTCTGCCTACTCTGCCGATTGTTCATTTATTCATTCGCTATTATTGAATACAACCAAAAACCAGGCATTGTGCTAGGAGATGGGACACACATCTGCTAGGAGGTGGTGAGCACAAAGGACAGAGGCCCTGCCCCTATGTCACCTGCAGCTGGGAGGGAGGCCCACAACCATGATGAATAGGCAAATCTTTATGGTAGGTAAAACCAAACGGATCTCTGTGAGCACATATTCTGGGGAGGTCCTAGTTGAAACCCATAGAAAGACTTTCAGCTAAATCATACTCTTCTCTCCAATGTGTAGACTTTACATTTGAGTAAGAGTTCATAGACAGCCTTGGGTGCTGTGGTTTACATTCTTAGACATATTTATTAGTATCTCATCCTATTGTTCCTAGAATTCCCTTAGGCTAAAATCTTTGGTATTTGAACTCGAACCAGTTCCCAGTTAAACCCAGGAAGAAAAAAGGCAGATCATTGCATTATAGCATAAATATAACACAAGAAATGTAAAAGTAGCATTTATTATGCACCACACAATGCAAGTCTACATAGTTAAGTACAAATCAAATCATATATGCCCAAAAGACATTTATATGCTTTTGGCTGCCTATTCCATAAAAGATTTATGGCAATCCGTCTCTACCCTAAATGGCTTTAGAATTTAGATAAATCTGATTTCCACCTACTAGTTGCTGAATATTTTCCTATGCTGCATCTAAATTACTTTTCCAATGTGTGTACATCCTTGTGGGTACTCTCACTGTTGGATGGAATCATGTTTGCAATATCTTACGTAAGATAAGTAAGATATCATGCTCAGTGACACCACTCTTGGGTGAGCAAAAGGTGTTTCTTGTTTCCTGGTAAGTTCCAAATGTCTGTAGGCTTCAGAGAAACAGACCAGAATACACATCTATTTCTCAGCTTCGGTGTGGAAGAATAAAGCCACCAAACTGTTGGAATTAAATAACGAATTCTAAAATATTCAGGAATGCCTAAACTTGAAGTGAAATGCTTTGCAATGCCTCCTCCCCCTTTTTTAATTAGCAGACTTACTTGTCCTGGATTTCATTCCCTGAAGATGAAATTTCAATATTTTCAGAGTAACTTCAGGTAGCTATGAGCTTAACTGAATCACTGTGGTATGCCAATCACAGGTAGAAATAGAGATGGAAATTCTCTATGAGTTTCCTAAGTATCATCAAAGGCCCTGTGAAGGGGTTGTACATTTGAAGTAAGAGTTGGCAAAGAATCTGAATTTTTCAGCAAAACTAAATGTTCAAACATTAAACTTTTTCTCACATTGGCAAAATTGAGCTATTAAATATTGGAGTGGTCTCTGGCAGTTTTCCAAATCAGGGCTAATTTCCAGGTTAGTCCTATACAAAGGGGTCAATCCTATGCCACTAGCATCATCTTGTTAGCTATATCAGGAAATTGAGGAAATATGGGGGAAATTTGCCTTTCAAACCACAAAGAACTTCCAAAAGGTTTCATTCCATAATGATGATAGAATAGATGATGGTAGGAGCAGAGGTCAGGTTTAAAATAAAATATCCAAAATGCTTCAAGGTGCCTTATATAACTGCTAGAAATACTGAATTCATTCTCTTCTTTTGAAAGCGCACTTGAGATCTTCCAATCCAGCATTATGAAGACCGCATATCTAATGACCTAATTTAGAATCAGCACTTGTCACAATCCATGCTCTAAATCATGGCAAGTTCCTTGGGGATTTCTGCCTCTATACAGCAAAAATAATGCCTGAGAAAAGATAGAGGCCGAAGTTAGCCACCAAGGAGAATAGAGCTGTTCTCCAAAGCAGAGAGCGAGAGAGCAGATGGGACAGACCTTTGGTCAGCAGCGAATCAAAAGGAGCATTTACCAGGGGCTAGGCAGAGAAAAACAGAATCCACTCACAATTTGAAACCAGGTAGAGCTTGCAAAGGAACAAAGCCAGGCAAGAGAGAAAAGTTGAGGGCTCAGTCTCAATGCCAAGAGAGGAGGAAGAATAAGAATGTGTTTCTGCTATGTGCTCAAGCCCTGTTCATAAAGACCCAGAACTGCCTAGCGAGGGGAGATGACTTGGCTTAGGTCAAAGCAACAAATCCCAAGTCCTCCTTCATTGATATCTGTCATTAGAAACATTTAAATAGAGTCTAAATGAGCCTGTCAAGAATGCTCTAGAAGCGTTGGACTGACTGTGAGAGCTCTGCTAAGCCTTTAAATTCCATAATTCAGCAATAAAACTACTCCTTTAAATCATTGCTATTTCTCAGTCTTGAAAAGTAAATAGTGCCACATTTGAGGTACCTTGCTGCAAAGCAATACTTTGACTTGGTCTGGATTCCCAAAGAACAAATGACTTCTTGTGTTTTTCTTTTCACTATTGAATTCAATAGATATTAGTTCAATGTCAGACTGTGTCATCTCTCAAGGACGTATAGGATGCCTACTGCACTTAATGCCATAGGGAATGAGGCACAATCAGAACATCAGGTACAAACATGAAGATTTGAAAGTTTGTTGTTGTTTTCTTAAAATCTGCTGCAAAAATCTAACCTGAACAGCAGTAGGAAGATATTTCTGATGTCTCCCACATTTATCCCAATTTGAGGACCAGGATTTTGCCTGAAAAGGACCCCATCTATCTTTTCAGGGGCATGCATGCCCTTAATATGGTGTGATCAGCTATCCAAGAAACTCCAAGCCTAAAACCAGACAGGATTATTCAGACTGAACTTTTCAACACATTCTCAATTCCCTACGAAACTCAACAAAACTAAGCATTGTGTTTTCAAACCTTCAAAGATTCACTTCCTACTTTTTTAAAATTTTTATTTATATCCTTCTTAGTCTTTCCTACAAAACATGTGTTTGTCAACTTGGGAGTAATGTTAAAAGTACCGGCCGGGCACCATGGCTCACACCTGTAATCCCAGCACTTTGGGAGGCTGAGGCGGGCGGATCATGAGGTCAAAAGATCAAGACCATCCTGGCCAACATGGTGAAACCCCATCTCTACTAAAAATACAAAAATTAGCTGGGCATGGTGACACACGTCTGTAGTCCCAGCTACTCGGGAAGCTGAAGCAGGAGAATCGCTTGAACCCAGGAGGCGGGGGTTGCAGTGAGCCGAGATCGCACCACTGCACTCCAGCCTGGTGACAGAGCAAGACTCTGTCTCAAAAAAAAAAAAAAAAAAAGTACCACACCACCGCGAAAATATATGTCATGTGGAAACAGACTAGAAATTATCATTGAACTCCCTGGGAACATATGATAGAGCCCAAAATGTTGGAGTGGTTTTAGGTTGAATAGTGTCTTGAGGGCTCTGTAAAATGCTGGGTGTAACATATGGTCAAAGTCGGCTTTAGATTCACTGACAAACTGCATTCAACAGAACCCTGCTATCATCCCCAAGACTTATTTAGAAGTTTCCTGAAAGAAAACATGTTATTAGTACAAGCAATTTCTCCACCAAGCATTACAAAACCTACCCAAACATTACATTACAGAGGGGCCAATCTGAGACATGAAAAATGACACCAAAGAGTTTCATAAACACAGAATAAAGGGAAAACTGATATTCTAGTGAAGACAGTGCTAAAAGCCATTATCAGAAGATATGGATTACATCCTCTAAGAATACGAGGGAGGGAGATTGTGTTTATAGATATTTGGCCATGTCAGAAAAAAAAAATATTCTACCTGAGACTTAGGAACTTTAAATACTCTCCTCCAGAGTGCATGTGTTTCCCGAGGGAGTGAGAGAAGCTGTGAACAGGTACATTCACAGACCTTGTTTGGTTGCTGAAGGAGTATGCATGACTTGAATTCTGATGCAGGCTCACACAGTGAATCAAATGATTTGGTGCTGTCAGAAAAGACCATTCTTCTCTAGAGTAAAGCTGGATGAGGTCACTGTCTCCAAAACTGGATTATATTAAATTCTTAGGTTGCAAAAATTGTTTTGTGTATGGTGACTTTCCCTTAACTTGACCAAGTAAAACGGCCTTGTCCCTGAGCAAAAACCAGCCTGCCTTCATGTCTTTAAACAGATTGTTTTCCAAAGCTTACAAATGACCTCCAGCCTATAAAATATTCACATTGGTTTTTTTCCTTCAATATTTATTATTTAGAGTGTAGCCCTTTAAATATTCATCATATTTTTCTAAAGATATGGTATATATTATTTACATCTGGTCACATTATATTTTCATAGTGATGAAATGGACACATTGGAATCTTTCTGAAGTCAGGAACAAATAGGGTATTGGGCCAGATGCACACAACAGGTAGCCAGTGAGGTGGATTTGCGTCCAGAGATGATTGAGGGAAAATGGCAGGTGGCCTTCTCACAGTGACTACTCAGGAAAGATCCAGAGGAAATAAAGGGTCCAGGGTAGATGGACTTGGGGCCTCCTGTGGGTAGGTAGACAGCCATGGGCTGAAGGAGAAAGTCAAATATGTCTCATCAGAGAATTCACATGGGATACAAAAGCAATAATGGAGTTCACAAACACAACTCAGAATTCAACAGGTCACCTCCTTAGAAAACCAAAGGGAAGGTGTTGGAATGTGTTTATGAGGATTGCAAAGACCCTTTAAGATGGGATTTATTCCATTTTTAATTAATTTCTCATGCTTTTTCCTTAAGCCAAGGTTTTTGAGGTCCCCCAGGTGTCCATCTTACCTGTGTAAATTACAACTGGAATGACATTTAAGACAATAGTAGTCTGGAATCCTAATTAGAAGATTGGGGGGATCATCTGAGATCTCTCTCTCTCTCTTGCTCTGGGGGTAATCGGGTCAAGGAAAATGAGTTTTGGTGTTTTTTTGTTTTTTGGGGTTTTTTTTCCCTAAAAGCCTGAATGAATTTGTCCATGCCTCCTTTACTCTCTAAAGTTACATTTGGAAAGAAGTCGCTGGCAGGTAATCAATCATTTTTGAAATCTTACTTCCCTTAGCAGATCATCAGCAATGCTGTTCGTGTATTTATTCATTTGACAAATATTTATGAAGCACTGGTACACACAAAGCTCTGTTTACTGAGTCTCTGGCTGTGGAGCAGTTATTCCCTGGGAGCCAAGAAGTACAGCTGTTCTTTAGCAAATGAGTAGCTGAAGATTAGAGTGGTGGCTAAAAGCCATGGCTTCTACATGGACAAAATCATCCTGTTCTTGGAGGCTAAAACTTGGGAGGCTGTAATGCATTATTTTTGTTTTTGATCCCTGGGTGAAACTTATTAATTATTCTGCTTCCTAATCTTTCCCATGACAAGAGTTCAGCAACCACAAAAGAACAAATAGCAGCGAAGCCTTATTTGCTTGAGAAGGAATATGGTGGTGTTCCCAGGGAGGGAATTTCCAGACAAATTAATATGTGCTCCCATAGCCCTTTGCTTAGCTAGGACTATAATGTTTGTTCCTTGTCTGTTACCCCTACTAGGCAGTGCTACAAACCCTTCAAGGATAGAGACTGTGTACAAGTCATATTTTGCATTCCCAGAGTCTACTATAAAACCTGTCTTATAAAAGGCACGTTAGAAGTGTTTAATGAAGGAATACTAGCCACAAAAGCCTTTTTTCTTATTTAACCAATGTTTTGGAACTTTTTCTGAACTGTACTACATTTTCTTGTCTCATTAAATCGATTTCGTTGAATGTTATTGAATTTTTACTTGCTAAGTCACTGATTTAAAATATATGGTATGAGTCCCTGTGCTATAGACTGGCGATCTGCAAACATTTTTGGTCTTGCACCTCTATCAGCAAAATATTCCGAATGATAAACAACCAGAGTACCTATAAATATTTATACATAAATTGTAACATAAGCACTACTGAATTAACACATTCAGTACCTCATGAAATTTACATAAAAACAGAAACTTTTGAAAGATGAGAAAAAGATATTCTTTTTTATTTCTATTTTGTAATGTTCCAGATGTATCAAGAATAAGAGGAATATGATGCCTGCCATTATATTGTTTACTTGTGCTTGCTTTGTTTGAAATGAAAGAAATCCAAAGTTTCTTTTCAAAAGCTATTTAAGTCCTATTCCATTGAATGAGTTAGTTAAAACTAATTAATCTAATCCATAAATGCCTTAGCCAGTACATATGCTGGATCAATACACCAGCAGCAAGTTAATGGTGGTGGAGGTGCCAATGCTGCCCCTCCCCACTATGAAAGTCTTACTCTGTCCCTAAGATAATTGAGAAATGGCGATCCCTGTACGGACTGATTGAAATATCAATCTCTAGATTAAATATTAGGAAAGCTTAATTCCTCTTGTATTTTTATAAAGATAGAAATAGGAATTCTAATCCTGAATCACATTGAATCTCTTGCACACCCCCAGAGATGCACACACACTCCTGTCACCAACCCAACACACACACTTCAAAAACCATAGTTATCAACTATGGCCATAGTAAGCCTAGTGGTTAAGAGTAATGATTCCAGCATCTGCATTTGAATTTGAATCTCATCTCCACCATTTACTAGATGTGTGGCAAGTTTTTTAGCCTTTCTAAGGCCTGTTTCCTTTTTGTATAAGGGTGTAATGATAATATTTTAGCACCGTCAGAGTTGTGAAGATCGAATGCACGTGAGGGCCTCAGCTCAGTGAAAGCTCACAGTTAATCCCCATTTCTTTGAGTCAATTACTGCCCTCTGCTGAACCCAGCAGTTGCCATGTGCCCTGACAACAAAGTCTTGTCTCTTTCCCAACTTTTCATTATTTTTAACTTTTTCAATACTGAAATGGTGGGGAAAAAAATAGTAAAATGAACATCCATATAACCCCCATACAGATTCAATAATGGTTGACTATTTTGCTATTTTCAAGTAAGTAAAAGATGCAGTGACACATTATCCCTAAGTATCTCAGCGTGAATCTCCTAAAAGCAAGGACAGTCTCCTATACAGCCACAACATCATGATCACACTTAAGAAAATTAGCACTTATTCAATAATATCAACTACTATTTATTCAACATTCAAAATTATCAAAGTTCTTACTTACAGCTGGGTCCCTACCTCCAAATCCAGGAGTCAGTTTCTCTTCCTTCCTTCCTTTCTCTTCCTTCTTTCCTTCCCTCCCTCCTTCCTTCCTTTCTCTTTTTTCCTTCTCTTTGTTTCTTTCTTGCTTGCTTACTTTCTTGCTTTCTTCTTTCACTTGCCCTCTTTTGAAGCATTAAGGCCAGTTGTCTCATATAATATCTCATCACTGGGGGGAGGAGCCAAGATGGCCGAATAGGAACAGCTCCAGTCTACAGCTCCCAGCGTGAGTGACGCAGAAGACGGGTGATTTCTGCATTTCCAACTGAGGTACCAGGTTCATCTCACTAGGGAGTGCCAGACAGTGGGCGCAGGTCAGTGGGTGCGCGCACCGTGCGCGAGCCGAAGCAGGGCGAGGCATTGCCTCACTTGGGAAGCGCAAGGGGTCAGGGAGTTCCCTTTCCGAGTCAAAGAAAGGGGTGACTGACGGCACCTGGAAAATCGGGTCACTCCCACCCGAATACTGCACTTTTCCGACGGGCTTAAAAAACGGCGCACCACGAGAGTATATCCCGCACCTGGCTCGGAGGGTCCTACGCCCACGGAGTCTCGCTGATTGCTAGCACAGCAGTCTGAGATCAAACTGCAAGGCGGCAGCGAGGCTGGGGGAGGGGCGCCCGCCATTGCCCAGGCTTGATTAGGTAAACAAAGCAGCCTGGAAGCTCGAACTGGGTGGAGCCCACCACAGCTCAAGGAGGCCTGCCTGCCTCTGTAGGCTCCACCTCTGGGGGCAGGGCACAAACAAACAAAAAGACAGCAGTAACCTCTGCAGACTTAAATGTCCCTGTCTGACAGCTTTGAAGAGAGCAGTGGTTCTCCCAGCAGGCAGCTGGAGATCTGAGAATGGGCAGACTGCCTCCTCAAGTGGGTCCCTGACCCCTGACCCCCAAGCAGCCTAACTGGGAGGCACCCCCCAGCAGGAGCACACTGACACCTCACACGGCAGGGTATTCCAACAGACCTGCAGCTGAGGGTCCTATCTGTTAGAAGGAAAACTAAAAAACAGAAAGGACATCCACACCAAAACCCCATCTGTACATCACCATCATCAAAGACCAAAAGTAGATAAAACCACAAAAATGGAGAAAAAACAGAACAGAAAAACTGGAAACTCTAAAAAGCAGAGCGCCTCTCCTCCTCCAAAGGAACGCAGTTCCTCACCAGCAATGGAACAAAGCTGGATGGAGAATGACTTTGACGAGCTGAGAGAAGAAGGCTTCAGACGATCAAATTACTCTGAGCTACGGGAGGACATTCAAACCAAAGGCAAAGAAGTTGAAAACTTTGAAAAAAATTTAGAAGAATGTATAACTAGAATAACCAATACAGAGAAGTGCTTAAAGGAGCTGATGGAGCTGAAAACCAAGGCTCGAGAACTACGTGAAAAATGCAGAAGCCTCAGGAGCCGATGAGATCAATTGGAAGAAAGCGTATCAGCAATGGAAGATGAAATGAATTAAATGAAGCGAGAACGGAAGTTTAGAGAAAAAAGAATAAAAAGAAATGATCAAAGCCTCCAAGAAATATGGGACTATGTGAAAAGACCAAATCTACGTCTGATTGGCGTACCTGAAAGTGATGGGGAGAATGGAACCAAGTTGGAAAACACTCTGCAGGATATTATCCAGGAGAACTTCCCCAATCTAGCAAGGCAGGCCAACATTCACATTCAGGAAATACAGAGAACGCCACAAAGATACTCCTCGAGAAGAGGAACTTCAAGACACATAATTGTCAGATTCACCAAATTTGAAATGAAGGAAAAAATGTTAAGGGCAGCCAGAGAGAAAGGTCGGGTTACCCTCAAAGGGAAGCCCATCAGACTAACAGCGGATCTCTCGGCAGAAACCCTACAAGCCAGAAGAGAGTGGGGGCCAATATTCAACATTCTTAAACAAAAGAATTTTCAACCCAGAATTTCATATCCAGCCAAACTAAGCTTCATAAGTGAAGGAGAAATAAAATACTTTACAGACAAGCAAATGCTGAGAGATTTTGTCACCACCAGTCCTGCCCTAAAAGAGCTCCTGAAGGAAGCGCTAAACATGGAAAGGAACAACCGATACCAGCCACTGCAAAATCATGCCAAAGTGTAAAGACCATCGAGACTAGGAAGAAACTGCATCAACTAACGAGCAAAATCACCAGCTAACATCATAATGACAGGATCAAATTCACACATAACAATATTAACTTTAAATGTAAATGGACTAAATGCTCCAATTAAAAGACACAGACTGGCAAATTGGATGAAGAGTCAAGACCCATCAGTGTGCTGTATTCAGGAAACCCATCTCACGTGCAGAGACCCACATAGGCTCAAAATAAAAGGATGGAGGAAGATCTACCAAGCAAATGGAAAACAAAAAAAGGCAGGGGTTGCAATCCTAGTCTCTGATAAAACAGACTTTAAACCAACAAAGATCAAAAGAGACAAGGCCATTACATAATGGTAAAGGGATCAATTCAACAAGAAGAGCTAACTGTCCTAAATATATATGCACCCAATACAGGAGCACCAAGATTCATAAAGCAAGTCCTGAGTGACCTACAAAGAGACTTAGACTCCCACACATTAATAATGGGAGACTTTAACACCCCACTGTCAACATTAGACAGTTCAACGAGACAGAAAGTCAACAAGGAAACCCAGGAATTGAACTCAGCTCTGCACCAAGCGGACCTAATAGACATCTACAGAACTCTCCACCCCAAATCAACAGAATATACATTTTTTTCAGCACCACACCACACCTATTCCAAAATTGACCACATACTTGGAAGTAAAGCTCTCCTCAGCAAATGTAAAAGAACAGAAATTATAACAAACTATCTCTCAGACCACAGTGCAATCAAACTAGAACTCAGGATTAAGAATCTCACTCAAAACTGCTCAACTACATGGAAACTGAACAACCTGCTCCTGAATGACTACTGGGTACATAACGAAATGAAGGCAGAAATAAAGATGTTCTTTGAAACCAACGAGAACAAAGACACAACATACCAGAATCTCTGGGACGCATTCAAAGCAGTGTGTAGAAGGAAATTTATAGCACTAAATGCCCACAAGAGACAGCAGGAAAGATCCAAAATTGACACCCTAACATCACAATTAAAAGAACTAGAAAAGCAAGAGCAAACACATTCAAAAGCTAGCAGAAGGCAAGAAATAACTAAAATCAGAGCAGAACTGAAGGAAATAGAGACACAAAAAATTAATGAATCCAGGAGCTGGTTTTTTGAAAGGATCAACAAAATTGATAGACTTCTAGCAAGACTAATAAAGAAAAAAAGAGAGAAGAATCAAGTAGACACAATAAAAAAATAAGGGGGATATCACCACCGATCCCACAGAAATACAAACTACCATCAGAGAATACTACAAACACCTCTATGCAAATAAACTAGAAAATCTAGAAGAAATGGATAAATTCCTTGACACATACACTCTCCCAAGACTAAACCAGGAAGAAATTGAATCTCTGAATAGACCAATAACAGGATCTGAAATTGTGGCAATAATCAATAGCTTACCAACCAAAAAGAGTCCAGAACCAGATGGATTCACAGCCGAATTCTACCAGAGGTACAAGGAGGAACTGGTACCATTCCTTCTGAAACTATTCCAATCAATAGAAAAAGAGGGAATCCTCCCTAACTCATTTTATGAGGCCAGCATCATTCTGATACCAAAGCCAGGCAGAGACACAACAAAAAAAGAGAATTTTAGACCAATATCCTTGATGAACATTGATGCAAAAATCCTCAATAAAATACTGGCAAAATGAATCCAGCAGCACATCAAAAAGCTTATCCACCATGATCAAGTGGGCTTCATCCCTGGGATGCAAGGCTGGTTCAATATACGCAAATCAATAAATGTAATCCAGCATATAAACAGAGCCAAAGACAAAAACCACATGATTATCTCAATAGATGCAGAAAAAGCCTTTGACAAAATTCAACAACCCTTCATGCTAAAAACTCTCAATAAATTAGGTATTGATGGGACGTATTTCAAAATAATAAGAGCTATCTATGACAAACCCACAGCCAATATCATACTGAATGGGCAAAAACTGGAAGCATTCCCTTTGAAAACTGGCACAAGACAGGGATGCCCTCTCTCACCACTCCTATTCAACATAGTGTTGGAAGTTCTGGCCAGGGCAATTAGGCAGGAGAAGGAAATAAAGGGTATTCAATTAGGAAAAGAGGAAGTCAAATTGTCCCTGTTTGCAGACGACATGATTATATATCTGGAAAACCCCATTGTCTCAGCCCAAAATCTCCTTAAGCTGATAAGCAACTTCAGCAAAGTCTCAGGATACAAAATCAATGTAGAAAAATCACAAGCATTCTTATACACCAACAACAGACAAACAGAGAGCCAAATCATGAGTGAACTCCCATTCACAATTGCTTCAAAGAGAATTAAATACCTAGGAATCCAACTTACAAGGGATATGAAGGACCTCTTCAAGGAGAACTACAAACCACTGCTCAAGGAAATAAAAGAGGATACAAACAAATGGAAGAACATTCCATGCTCATGGGTAGGAAGAATCAATATCGTGAAAATGGCCATACTGCCCAAGGTAATTTACAGATTCAATGCCATCCCCATCAAGCTACCAATGACTTCCTTCACAGAATTGGAAAAAACTACTTTAAAGTTCATATGGAACCAAAAAAGAGCCCGCATCGCCAAGACAATCCTAAGCCAAAAGAACAAAGCTGGAGACATCACACTACCTGACTTCAAACTATACTACAAGGCTACAGTAACCAAAACAGCATGGTACTGGTACCAAAACAGAGATATAGATCAATGGAACAGAACAGAGCCCTCAGAAATAACGCAGCATATCTACAACTATCTGATCTTTGACAAACCTGAGAAAAACAAGCAATGGGGAAAGGATTCCCTATTTAATAAATGGTGCTGGGAAAACTGGCTAGCCATATGTAGAAAGCTGAAACTGGATCCCTTCCTTACACATTATACAAAAATCAATTCAAGATGGATTAAAGACTTAAACATTAGACCTAAAACCATAAAAACCCTAGAAGAAAACCTAGGCATTACCATTCAGGACATAGGCATGGGCAAGGACTTCATGTCTAAAACACCAAAAGCAATGGCAACAAAAGACACAATTGACAAATGGGATCTAATTAAAGAGCTTCTGCACAGCAAAAGAAACTACCATCAGAGTGAACAGGCAACCTACAAAATGGGAGAAAATTTTTGCAACCTACTCATCTGACAAAGGGCTAATATCCAGAATCTACAATGAACTCAAACAAATTTACAAGAAAAAAACAAACAACCCCATCAAAAAGTGGGCAAAGGACATGAACAGACACTTCTCAAAAGAAGACATTTATGCAGCCAAAAAACACATGAAAAAATGCTCATCATCACTGGCCATCAGAGAAATGCAAATCAAAACCACAATGAGATACCATCTCACAGCAGTTAGAATGGCAATCATTAAAAAGTCAGGAAACAACAGGTGCTGGAGAGGATGTGGAGAAATAGGAACACTTTTACACTGTTGGTGGGACTGTAAACTAGTTCAACCATTGTGGAAGTCAGTGTGGCGATTCCTCAGGGATCTAGAACTGGTAATACCATTTGACCCAGCCATCCCATTACTGGGTATATACCCAAAGGACTATAAATCATGCTGCTATAAAGACACATGCACACGTATGTTTACTGTGGCATTATTCACAATAGCAAAGACTTGGAACCAACCCAAATGTCCAACAATGATAGACTGGATTAAGAAATTGTGGCACATATACACCATGGAATACTATGCAGCCATAAAAAATGATGAGTTCATGTCCTTTGTAGGGACATGGATGAAACTGGAAATCATCATTCTCAGTAAACTATCACAAGAACAAAAAACCAAACACCGCATATTCTCACTCATAAGTGGGAATTGAACAATGAGAACACATGGACAAAGGAAGGGGAACATCACACTCTGGGGACTGTTGTGGGGTGGGGGGAGACGTGAGGGATAGCATTGGGAGATATACCTAATGCTAGATGACGAGTTAGTGGGTGCAGTGCACCAGCATGGCACATGTATACATATGTAACTAACCTGCACAATGTGCACATGTACCCTAAAACTTAAAGTATAATAATAAAATAATAATAATAATAATAATATCTCATCACTGGATGTGTCTGATTATTTATGGTGTTACTTAGTTTTTTCCTCTATTGCCAGTATTTCCTGTAAACTGATTTTTTTAAGTCAGAAACTTGATGGGATTCAGGTGAAATATTTGGAGCAAGATTAATTCTTAGGTGAATTTGTCACAGAAGAGTACTTAGATAGTTCTTTCTGGTCATTGGCTTTGCTATTCTGTTTTTAGCAATCATTCCACCTTGTCACCTTCCTCCCTCTTTTGTCTAATTTTACAGTACTGTAATGGTAGGTATGAGAAGGATGCCCTCTCTTCCTAATAGAGTCAAGTGTTCATGGTCCTTTTGACAGGTCTTAAACTAAGAGTGTTTGTCTCTACTGACATCAGAAGTTGCAATTATCAGAAATCAGAATCAGCTCCAGATAAATCCTAAAAGAGGGCTCATGTTTTTCCTATGGACCCCAACAGTATATGTTTGGATCAGTTTCCAGAGACATAACAGTAGTTGTTGTTTAACTTCCAGAATCTATCAATAGCATAGATGAAAAAAGTAATACTTAAATATTACTGGGATTACTAATATTACAGCATTACTAATACAATATTGGAGCGATCGTAAATACTGTTCACAAGTATTGGTAAGAGTTCATTTGTCCTAGAATAGCTCATCCAGGAATCAGAGAAAGGAAATTGTTCTAAATTTTGTATTTTATCCCAAGTCCTTGTTCCCATCTGGTGTGTTATTAATGAATTAGGGCTCACTGTCATTGTCAGTAATATATTTGTACTAAGAGTGTTTGTTAACATAAAGCTTAATTCACAGTTGTGTGCACTTAAGTTTCCAGGAAAAAAAACCAAAAAAACAAAAAAACAAAAACCTCAGGTCCGGAGCTACAGCAGAGCAGTTACATATATTATTCAGAAATATAAATAAATAAAATGAGAAAAACATTTCTAAATGATGTGCAAGTTGAAAGGCCTTCCTGATATTGAAAAATAAACTGCCATCATTCAGATATAAATGAATCAAAGGCATGTTCTTTTCCAGTGGCTAATAGTGTCCATTTTTTCAGCCGTCTGCCTCACCATCACCGTCTGCAGGTGAATTGGCCAGTGTTTCCGTGCAGAATGTTAAAACGGCATCTACATTTCTCACTGCTCCTTTGATGTTATCTCCTTCAACTGCACAATGAAAACGCACAGCTACTGAAATGCCAGAGGGAACACACTCTGATTATAAATGTGCTGGGGTAAACAATGAGAGAAAACCCACATCCCCATCATCGCGACGGGCTCCTCACTTAGCCAAATACAACCCCACAGTTTTCTCCCACCCCTCTTGGGACGATGAACACACAGTATTGTGACCCCAGCTAATTTGTGTTAACCATACAGTCTATGACCTTGTAATAGAATGGGACAATTCAATCCATTATCTTAACCAACATTTATTGAGCATGTACTGTGTGCTTAGACCTGTGTGACCAACTAATCCTGGTTTACCTGGGACGTTCCCATTTTAGTGCTGAAAACTCGTCACCCTGGAATCCCCTAAGCTGTGGCAAATAGGACTATTAGTCACTTGACCCATACTGGACACTGTGGATAAAGATAAATTACAACCCTATTTCTGCCAACAAAAAGCATGTTGTCTAAAAGAGAATCAGAAAAATAAGCCAATTATTAGAGTTTGGAGTGATCAGTAGTTAGAATCATCAAGAGGGCATAGCGCAGCGCAGAAAGCTGAATCTAAATCTAAGCTGGGGACCCAAGAACGCACCCCGAAGAAGACAACGTTTGAGAATAATTTAAAGAATGAGTAGTGCAACATCCACCATTAAATTCTGCACATACTGAAAGGAGACACCTGTGGGGCGGCATGCAACTTTGTTCTTTATCTGAGTCTCAAAATCTGTGTATCTGGTTTAGATTCCCATAACGTGGAGGTAGGATTGTAGTACAAAATCAGAAGAAAGAGAATGCTCATTCTTAGTTTATTTTATTATGGGACAGAATAAACCTGACAGTATTTCAGTCCTAAAGGTCGTGGTCATTTTCTGAACCAGATATAAATATAAAACATGTATTTCTTTCTCTGAGGATTGTTTTGAAAAGAGTAAGAATGAGTGGCCTATTGTGGGCACGCCTTTAATGGAGGTTAGGGCACCAAAGTGGACACTACGTAGAACAAATAAAATGTGAGAAATTGTTTTTCACATTTTCACATTTTACTTTGAAAAAAAAGTCAAACTTAACTGAAAATTGCATTTTTTGAAAAATTTTATACTCTTCATCTAGCTTTGCCGGATATTAAAAAGTTGCCACATTTACCTTTTCTCTTTTTCTTTATACATCTGTATATTTATTGTTATTCTTGATTATTACTGAGCTGTTGTAGAGCAAGTTGTGGAAATTATACCCCTTTCATTTTAAATCCTCTAGCGTGTGTCTCCCAAGAGTACAGTATTCTCCTGTGTTACCACAGTATGATTTTATGTCCAGGAAATTTAACACTACATAATACTATTATCTAATAGAGAGCCAGCATACAAATTTTGCCCACTATCACAATAATGTCTTTTATTGGCAATTATCCTTCTGACCTAGCATTTAGTCCAGAGCCCTCTGCTGCATTTGGCTATCATGTCTCTTATTCTTCATCTGGAAGGACTCTTCAGCTTTTTCTTGTCTTTTATGATGGACATTTTTGATGAGTAGAGGCCAGCTGGTTTTCAGAATGCCCCTGAGTTTCGGTTTGTCTGATATGTCCTCATGATTAGATTCAGATTATAAATTTGGGGCTGCCTAAGTGATGTGTCCATCTTGGGACATCACATCAGGAGGAACAAGTGACCAATTTGTCCCCTTGCTTCATCACTTGATGAAGGTGGCAGCCTGCCAAGTTTCCACACTGTAAAATTACTAGTTTTCCTTTTGTAATTAATAAATAATCTGTGTTACTAGGTACTTTGAGATTCTGTAAATATCCCATTCCCCATCAAATGTTGACTCAACATTTTTTTACGTCTGTATTCGTTTGCTAAGGCCGTCATAACAAAGTACCACAAACTGAGTTACTTAAAACAACAGACATTTACTATCCCACAGTTCTGGGGCTGGAAGTCTGAAATCAAGGTGTCGGCGGGGTTGGGTCCTTCTGAGGGCTAGGAGGAAAGGATCCCTTCTAGACCTCTCTCCTTCGCTTGTAAATGGGCATCTTCTTCCTGTGTCTCTTCATATTTTCTTTCCTCTGTGTGTGTCTGTGTGCTCAAATTTCCCCTTTTTATCAGCACATATCATATTGAGTGAGGGCCCACCCACATGACTTCACTTTAACTTCTTTAGCTCTGTCATGACCCTATCTCAAAATAAAGTCACATTCTGAGGTACCAAGGGTTAGGAATTTAACACGTTAAGGGGAGGAAAAGAATTCAATTCATAACAGATGCATTCCAGCCATCTCTGGACTTTCCCAATGTTCATTATGAAGCCAAAATGAAATTAAATTCCTCTTCCTACCCTTTCTGCAAGTGAAAAGTCAGTGTTCAGCCTGAAGACACTTAAGATGCTGGCACTAAGCTTTTCCTGGCCATCCATCCACAGGGCTGTGAATTTTACACTTACCCGTATTTAGAATGACTTCTCTTTCAGTTCTAGAGATTTTTAAGAGGGTTTGGTTTATTGCTTACCACCCATGTGTGTGCTCTAAGGGCCTGTCATTTGCACTAGAGCATAAGTACCAGCAGCTGAATTAGTGGCAATATTTATTTTTTGCAGAAACAAGGAGTCCATTGGGAAAAGTATTTATCTCTTGGTGCATTTGTTTTGGTACAGTTGTCTGACATGCAAGCAAATGAATTCTAGAGACTATACTTGGGGTGTTCACAATAGGGACTCTCAGCAGGAGAGGGACCCGAAGCCAGGCGTGATGCTTCGTAAGTTTTTAATTCAAAGGATTGAAGGACAGAAAAGATGGAAAACAAAAAGCCAATTACCTGAGAACTCTCGTCTAGAGGAGGACTGAGGGAGAGGAAAGGAGGCTTTCCCGGGCAATAAACCCTGCAGTGCAGTGTCTCTCTCTTAAAACTGTTAAAGAGTTCCTGCTGGTCATATCACAGGTTCTATAACCCTCGCCTGCGTACGTCCTTGTGTAGAAATGGGGAAAGCCTGAGCAGAATACTCACTTGCTTTCCTTGGTTTCTTGATCAGGTCACAGACATAAAAGAGAAATTGAAGCTCTCTAAAAAGGTCTGGTCAGCATTACCCTACACTATCTGCAAGGACGAGAGCGTGACAGCGGGCACGTCCAACGAGGAGGAATGCTGGAACGGGCACAGCAAAGCCAGGTGAGGGTGACTCGATGTGTGCATGGATGGGGGCACAGCACACCCAGCCTTGGAAGACTCTCCTGGCACAACTCTACAAACCTGTTTATGCAAAAAGCAACAGAGGGTGGAGGGACAAGTCATCACTTAGCAACAGCTGTTGAGAGTGACAGGTTTGATGGGCACCTGGGAGCACTTACTCTTAAGGTGCCATTAAGCGTGGAATCCTCATTCAGAATGTCTTGCCTCTGGATGAGGACAGAGGAATGGTGGCAGATGCCAGGTTTCAGATACCCTGAGATCACAAAGAGCCCTTTCATGTTCACTTAATGGCTTTAAGATACTGAAGTTATTTTTATCCATAGTTAAATTTCCAGGGCTCTTTTTTTCATCAAAAGTTAAATAGGAAATGAAAATTCAACTGTTTTTTTCACTCTTGTTGGAAAAAAAATTGAAGTGTTCATTGGCAACGTAACAGAAAATGTCTGAGGGACACTGAGAAATGGTTCTAATAGGCAACACACTTTGGGAAGTCCCATCGGAACCTCCTGACAAGAGACAGCAGTTTTCATCATTCTGCTCTGCTGACCAGTGCTGTGGGGACTTGATATGGAATTTCTGAATTTGTTGATTCAGCCCAGAAACGGGCTTGGCCTGGATTTTCATAGGGTGGGGAGGCTGGATGGGAGGACTGGTTGGGAGTTGGCAGGCAGGGCAGGACACGAGGACAGGAATCTGCCAAAGCCCTCAGCAATGGGGTTGCAAGCGGGTAAAGTAGCTGGTAAATTGGACTCAAGGGATCTTTGAGGATTGACCAGTGGGTGGAGATGCTAAGAGGGGAGTCTGTTCTGGGGCTTGACTGAGCAGTTTCAAGCATATGAAGCAGCTGTGATCAAAAGGAAACAAGAAGGTGTGTGGTTGCCAGGAGCGGTGGCTCACGCCTGTAATCCCAACACTTTGGGGGGCCAAGGTGGGAAGATAGCTTGAGCCCAAGAGTTTGAAACCAGCCTGAGCAACATTGTGAAACCATGTCTCTACAAAAATAAATATAAATCTTTGGCTATTAATATAAAGTGCATGGCTATTAAGTTGAGAAGAAACTGCAGAAGTTAAGCAGGAGGTGCAAGGGAGGTGCACGTTAGGTGTTATTTCTTACCCTGCTGAGTTGCATTTTTTAGCATCTGTTGCTTTATTAGTCCATTCTCATGCTGCTATAAAGAACTTCCCTGAGACTGGGTAATTTATAAAGGAAAGAGGCTTGATTGACCCACAGTTCCCTATAGCTGGGGAGGCCTCAGGAAACTTACAATCATGGCAGAAGACAAAGGCGAAGCAGGTGCCTTCCTCACAAGGTGGCAGGAGAGAGAAGTACAAGTAAAGGGGGAAGAGGCCCTTATAAAAGCACCACATCTCATGAGAACTCACTCACTATCATGAGAACAGCATGAGGGAAACCACCCCCTTGATCCAAGGTCCTGTTCTCAACACATAGGGATTATGGGGATTGCAATTCAAGATGGGAATTGGTGGGGACACAGAGCCAAACCATACCAATTGCTAATGACATTATTAACCATACCAGGAAGAGTTTAGCAAGGTGAAAGCAAGATACCTACACAAAGAGCTCTAACCATTTCAAAATGCTCAAAATATCAATATCAAATCATAGATCATGAGAAGGAAATTAGTTATGATATTAACAACATGCCACTAAAAAATATTTAGCATTTTACCAGTGTCTGGCTTTTTAGCTAGGAGACCTTTGGCCAGAAAATTCAGCTATGAATTAACAGCTTCTAGTGTGTATTTTCCCGATGACTGTACAGAAAGACACTGTGAAGAATGGCCAGATGGCCTAATGAATAAAATGCTTGGTTTTTTGAGCTTCTCTGTTTCCCATCTGTGTTTACCTTTAAGCCTTGGCTAACATAAAGCCTGGGTTTTGAACTGCTATTCCCACAGATTGTCACACAGGTTGCTGATATTAGTCCATATGCAATTTCTTACAAAAGGAAATATTTTTTTAAAAAAAGGCCATGGGCGAAGTTAGGGGAAGAGACTAAACACTACCAAGAATATGAATGGGGAATATAAAGACCACTGAAGTTAGAGCTGGAGGAGATCAGGATGGCAGACAAGTTCCTCATTGTGCAGATTAAGAACTCAGACAGGGTAAACAATTAGTCCACTGTTACCCAATGAACAAGGGTGAAAGCTGGGAATCTCCCAAATCCTAGCCCAGTATTTTTTTTATGGCAATACCCTACCTCTTAAGCAAACAACAGCTAAATACTGTCCTCCCCAAGTTAGGAGAACAAATGAGACAGATCCTAAGTGCTATAAAAGCTTCAGTGGTTCTACAGCATTCATTGAGTCAGTCCACCAGTCCATCAGCAGTATGATTAAGTACTCCCTGTGTCCCAGGCTCTGTGCAAGGCCCTGTAGATTAAGTGCTGTAAGATGGCAATGGGAGGCCAAGGCAGGCAGATCACCTGAGGTCAGGAGTTCGAGACCATCCTAGCCAAGATACAGAAACCCTGTCTCTACTAAAAATACAAAAATTAGCTGGGTGTGGTGGCACATGCCTGTAGTCCCAGCTACTTAGGAAGCTAAGGCAGGAGAATCGCTTGAACCCAGGAAAAGGAGGTTGCAGTGAGCCAAGATCATACCACTGCACTCCAGCCTGGGTGACAGAGTGAGACTCCATCTCAAAAAAAAAAAAAAATGGCAATGGGATCAATACCTGAAAAGGTACAGTGACTGGGGTGAGCCCAGTGAACCTGGAAACATCAGTACCCTACTGCTAGACTGCAGGTTTAGGAACGGACCACACTGGTAGAGAAACACCTGGATCAGTCCTCAGGAAAAAGATTTAAATTTCATCCTGAGATCAATGGGAAGCCATTGGAAGATTTTATGCAGGTGGGAAAATGATCCAGTTTAATGCAATGAAATCACTTGTAGGAATAGTCCAGAATTTGGTCCAATAAAATATATCTTTTATTATGCATAAGTATATTATTAAAAGATGAAGCTGTCAAATATTTGTGATTCAAATTATGTACCCATTGAACAATTACAATTCCATGGTTTCCTTTAGTTCTTTTTTTTAATTATTCCACTAGCAGGGAATCCTAATATTATATTTTTATATACTAGCATAGTAAATGGATCACCAATAAAGACTTGCTGAATTAAATGTAATTGAAGCTTTCTTCTTATCCAAATATTAATTCATCTAGAAAAACATCAAAGAAATTTTTCACTTAAATTTACTAAACTATTTTGTAAGAATCCATTTATAATGCAGATAATAACATTTTTTCACACTTTTGAATTATGAGTTTTAAGATGACAGGTCTTTTTAATTGTTTAGGAATGGTTGTTAAAAAAAGAAAAGAAAAAGAAAGAAAAGTTACTTTTATCACCTATGTGAAATAAAAGAACTAGAAACTTTATTTGTAGAAAATCTGGCCAGAGGCAATGACTCACACCTGTAATCCCAACACTTTGAGAAGCTGAGGCAGGAGGATCACTTGAGCTCAAGAGTTTAAGACTAGCCTGGGCAGCCTGTAATCCCAGCACTTTGGGAGGCCAAGGCGGGCGGATGATGAGGTCAGCAGATCGAGACCATCCTGGCTAACATGGTGAAACCCCGTCTCTACTAAAAAATACAAAAAATTAGCTGGGTGTGGTGGTGGGTGCCTGTAGTCCCAGCTACTCGGGAGGCTGAGGCAGGAGAATGGCATGAGCCTGGGAGGCAGAGCTTGCAGTGAGCAGAGATCACACCACTGCACTCCAGCCTGGGCGAGAGAGCAAGACTCTGTCTCAAAAAAAAAAAAAGAAAAGAAAAGAAAGAAAGACTAGCCTGGGCAACATAGTGAGACCCTGTCTCTACAAAAAATATTAAAGTAGCTAGGCATGGTGGCAGGCGCCTATAATCTTAACTACTCAGAAGGCTGAGGCAGGAGGATCACTTAAGCCCAGGAATTTGAGGCTGCAGTAAGCTATTATTGTGCCACTGTACTCCAGCCTGAGCAACAGAGTGAGATTCTATCTCTAAAAAATAAAAATAAAAAATAAGAAGAAATAATTTTTTTAAAAAATCCATCACGTATTAATAGATATGAAGCAGAGATGCTTATTAGAACTGATAGAGATTGTCATGCCTGAAGTTTATAAACTCAAGCCTGTGTGATAGGTCTCCAATAAACCAGACATTTCTTCCTCTCTTTCTGTTTTATCCATCAGACTCTTTCGGCCACATTTTTCTGTTTGTACCCGCTCCTGCAGCCTTTTGTCCTATCTAAGTGTTTAATCAGGCTTGTCTTCCATCACCTTATTTTTCCTGATTACTTTCTGAATCTTGCTCCATAGCTCTCTACCGTACTTCCTTGATTCAGAAACATACCTATTTCAAATGTTAACATTTCTGACATCAAAATGACTCTTACAGTAGATATGTCTATTTACTCCAGTGATTATCTTATTTTTTAAAAAGCTGTTATTAAGTAATGGCACCAGTTGAAATTGATGATGACTTCAAATAGAACAGGATACACAGCAGTATGGGTGCTGTGGCAGTCTGCAGGGTGCAATCTGCAGTGTTGAGACTGTGGTTAAGGGTGTGTAAGCAGTGGCTCCCCTAAGGTTTGAACCCACTTTCATCCCCCTGCTCCCCCAAGTCACTCCACCCTCACCCATCTCTGACAGATCTCACTCTGCCTCTGTAGCTCAACAGGTCTGCAACAGGAGGCAGGGTAAGAGGAGACTCTGCCCTTTGATGGGAGGAAATTGCAAGTGTGCCCAATCACAGTGACCTGATCAGCATTTAAATTTTCATTCTGAAAACAAGAATGGGTTAAACAAAGTGGTTAAGGGAATGTCTTCCCTGCTTCCTCTTTCTCCTGGGACAATGTGAAGATCAATGAGATAATCTCAATACAAATAGTTTGTAATCCTAAAACAGTGCTTCTCAAACTTTAGGGTGCAGGCTAAACTCTTGGAGATCTTATTAAAATGCAGATTCTGATTCAGTAAGTGCTATGGATTGACTGTTTGTGTCCCCCGAAAATTCATAGTTGAAATCCTCACCCCTTGTGCAATCATCTTTGGAGGTGGGGACTTTGGGAGATAATTAGGTCTTGAGGGTGCAGCCCTCATTAATGGGATTACTACCCTTGTAAGAGGAGACATGAGTTTCTCTCTCTCTCTCTCTCTCTCTCTCTCTCTCTCTGCCGTGTGAGGACACAACAAGGCAGCCATCAGCAAACTAGGAAGAGAGCCCTAATCAGACACAGGATATGCCAGCACCTTGGTCTTGGACACCATGGTCCCAAGAATTGTGAGAAATAAATGTGCATTGTTTAAACTGCCCAGTCTGTGGGATTTTTGTCATAGAAGCCCAAGCTAAGACGGTAAGTCTAGGGTAGAACCTGAGTGAGATTCAGCATTTCTAACAAGCTTTTAGGTGATGCAGTTATTGTTGATCCAGGGACCACTTGGAGTAGCAAGGCTTGAAGGCAGGATTGCCAGATCTAGCACATAAAGATAATAGACAACAAATGGAACACACTTATACTAAAAAAAGGATTCGTTGTTCACCTGAAATTCACATTTAATTGGCAACCATGTGTTTTATCTGGTGTTTTAAATGTCCCTATTAACATGTAAGATATTACCTTTTTCAGTCCACACACAAGCCTCAGGGAGCATGTTGCAATTTTGGGGGTTTCTTCACTGATACCCTTGATGTTTCCTTTAATGGGGCTTTTCTTATATTAAAAATAACAACAGCAATATGAGCTAGGAGTTCACGTCGTTCAATTATAACATCACCCACTAATGATAGACAGGTTATGGACAAGGTTGAAGTCTTCTCAACAATGAATTGCATAGGCTTCACATGTGCATCAGGAGAGAATTTTAAGTTAGAAATACAGCACAGCCTTCGCAATGCAGAATATCATCCACACAAACCTCTGGTCTTTAATAGTGCCATTTTGATACATGGCAAGGATGAATACTTTGTATCTTTGGTCAGCATTTTATTCAATTAGTGTCTTAGCTCAAAAAATACCACAGATATAATAGACTAAACAACAGAAATTTATTTCTCATAGTTCTAGAGGCTGGGAAGTCCAAGATCAGGGTGCCGGCAGATTGGGTTCTCTTCCTGGCTTATAGACAATGGCCTCCTTACTGTAGCCTTAGAGAGACAGAGAGTCCTGGTTCCTTTCTCTTATAAGGGAGCTAGTATGAGAAATCATCTACCCTCATGATCTCATTCAACCGTAAGAGGGTACCTAAGAGGTACCAAAGGCCCTATCTCCAGGTACCATCACACTGGGGATTAGGGCTTCAACATGTGGATTTTGGTGGCACACAGACATTGTGTTCAGAATCACATCCTACTTATCAGAAGAGCTAATACAGGATTTTTCTTAGAGTTCATGGCAATGTCTGTCACTTGAGAAAGACAGCCTAGTCGTCTTCAGTGACCAGCAGGAGCAAGTGTAATTTCTACTCCTTCTATTTTTCACTTACCTAAGCAACTTCTCAGGGGTAAATGTGAGAAGACACAGCAACATTCTGACTCCACTCAGACAAATAGGAACTGAAAGGAAGCTAGTAAGTTACAGAGGAAAATCGATAATAATCTAGAAGGCCAAAGGGAAAAAAATTAAAGACTCATGGTGCAGGTTACAAATCTAGGCCTCCCAAAGTTCCTGGGGTGAACTGAGAGACCCTAGGAGGACATTTGCAGTCATCAGTCATCCCTGAGAAGGGCGTTCTGGGCAGTCGGTGGCCATAATGAGCTGTCTGTACAGAAGCTAGAAAAGAATGATTAGATAGGAGGCAGGAAAGCATAGGCTTGGAGGGAAATAAAGCTTTTATATGGTTAGCATATACAGGTTAGAACTTTGTCAGGCAGCAGCAAAAGAAAAAATAAAGCCCTAATGGTGTTCAAATAGGCCCTTACCTTTTTGCTCATAAAGAGGCAGATTCTTGCTTTTTTAGAACATAGCCATGTTAAACTGCATCACCTCTAACTTCTTGTAGCATTGTTTTCTCTTCACGCAGACCCTTTTTCCAAACTCAGAGGGATTAAAAAGAAAAGGAGAGTATGACAGACAATGAGACAGGGCAGGAAAAATGAAAGCCAGTCTGAGAGCCAAGTCCCACTGGCACACATGTTATCTGATAGGACATAAATTATTTCAGAGCCTTCAGAGGTCTTGAGTCAGTCATTTCCAGACTCCTCCCTCTCCCCCATAAAACTGACAAAACAGCTTTCTGACGTTGCTCCTTGTAAGGCAGTGTTGAGCTTTCACTGTGTCCTTTCTTTAAAATGCTTTCTGGGAGGAGGCTATCAAGGAGCTGGCTGAGGGACAAAATTAATCGGACCCGTTGGAAACATGGCTTTTGCAGGGAGCCCCTGCTGTTTTTCAAGGCACCTGATCCTGACAGAAATATTGTGTCCCCAAGGAAATCCTTCCCAAGGCCAAGAGGTAAACACAGTAAATTGTAAGAAATAGGAAAAGTAGAAAAATCTAGAAAATAGATCAGTCACTCTCATCACAGAGTGTGGGTTGACTAACCAACGAAAACAGCAAGTCATGACTGGGTAAGTCTAAACAGATGGAAGGAGATGGAATGATGCACGATGATGGCAAATCTGTCAAAGATAGTGACTTGGCCGTCTTGAGGACAATATTGTTTTAACCTAATTGTGGGGTGTGGCCCAAAGCACTCTAACTGCATTTTAAAGAACTGTAAAATATCCAATATATACCAAGTCAAACACCTTGGAAAGGTGGGTGTATTCATCCGTTCTCACACTGCTATAAAGAAATAACTGAGAGTGGGTAACTTATAAAGAAAAGAGGTTTAATTGTCTCACAGTTCCACAGGCTGTATAGGAAGCATGGCTGGGGAGGCCTCAGGAAACTTACAACCATGGTGGAAGGCGAAGGGAAAGCAGACATGTCTTACATGGCTGGAGCAGGAGGAAGAGAGGGAAGGGGGTGGTGCCACACAATTTTAAACAACCAGCTCTCGAGAGAAATCTATCATGAGAACAACACCAAAGGGGAAACCCACCCCCATGATCCAATCACCTCCCACCATCACCCATCTCCAACATTGGAGATTAAAATTTGACATGAGATTTGAACACAAATCCAAACCATATCAGTGGGAATTCTGTCTTAGGAAAGAACTGGCTACTGTCAAGCCAGGTGTTCTAAAATGCCCACTTCCCTTCTTCAGACACACTTGAAGAGAGAGGACCCCATAAAGTCTTCCTGACTGTCCTGGCAGGGAGGAAGCTGTGTGAACCTCTTGCAAATGGGAAAAAAAAAATAAATGTTAGGCAGAGCTGGCTGCAAATAGGAAGAAGGGAGCATGTTTCTTGTTCACAACATGGCATTCCTGAAAACTGGCTCGTGAGTCTTTTTTTCCTTTCTGGTCTGTAGTTTGCTAACTGCAGGTCTACTAAGAAAGAATGGGTTTGGGGAGTTCCTGCCAATGAATTAAGAGGCCAAGTCAAAGAATTTTGCTCCTGCTTACTGCTGCAATCAATGAGCTATGTGTTCTCCAAAAGCATCCCCAAACCATTTCCTGCCTCACATTCTCCAACTGGAAAAGAGCCACAGCAAATTCTTTTTCTGAACATGAATTCAGGCTTTAAAATTTCAGATTCTGCTACCGTCATCCACTCACAAGAAATTAGTTTGGCAATTTGGGGAGCCATGTTAACAACTTAATTTTCATAAGACTACATTAAAATTGCATAATTATATAAAGTAGCTAAATGACTTGTCCATGGTCACACTGCGGGGTCCCAGAGAGATCACAGGTGACCCAGTCATACATAGCCCTTATGCGCTTAACCGTATTTTGATGTCAGATCTCATGAAGTCCCCTAGTGCCTCAGACAACCCTAGCTTAATGATCTTCAAGAATTTATAATTACACTTAAAGCAGAAGGTCACAGTTTACGTTGAATAATCCAACTTTCCATCCAAGAAAAATGGAAAGGGAAAAAAGTAATTCTTATCAAGAACTTTAGTAAAGTTATAACTAAAACTTGAATTTTTAACATTGTGGTGAAATATACCAAACATAAAAACATGTACCATTGTACGATGAATAGTTTTGTGGCATTAAGTGCAGTCACGTGGTTGTGCAACCATCATCACCATCCATCCACAGAACTTTTTTATCTTCCTAAACTGAAACTCTGTACCCATTAAACATAAATTCCCTCCCCTCTACCCCCAGGCCCTGCTGACCACCATTCTATTTTCTGTCTCTTTGAATTTGCCTATTTTAGGTACCTCATATAAGTGGAATCATAAAATATTTGTCCTTTTGTGACTGTCTTATTTCACTTACTATAATGTCCTCAAGGTTCATCTATGTGGTATCACATGTCAATTTTCTTCCTTTCTAAGGCTGAATTATATTTCCACTCTATGTGTATACCATATTTTATTTCTCCATTCATCCATAAATGGACACCTTTCACCTTTTGGTTATTATGAATGGTACTGTGAGCAGAGGTATATAAATATCTGCTCAAGTCCTTGCCTTTCATTCTTTGGGATATCCCAAAGATATCTGTATACTTCTCTTCACAGTACCATTATTCATGTATATAATAATGAGATTTGAAAGCCAATAGTTCTGAGAAATAAGGCACTAGCAAGGAAGGTTAGCCTGGTGGTGCTTAGTAGGGGTGTCATGAATCCAAGTAGCAGCTGTAATAATAATATATGTATTATTCATATATATAATAATAATGGTACTATGAACATTGGTTCTTGGTACTTGGGGTGTGTATATATGCAATTGCTGGATCATATGGTAATTCTATTTTTAATTTTTTTTTTTTTTTTTTTTTTTTTTTTTGGAGATGGAGTTTAGCTCTTGTGGCCCAGGCTGGAGTGCAATGGCCGTGATCTCAGCTCACCACAACCTCCGCATCCCAGGTTCAAGTGATTCTCCTGTCTCAGCCTCCCAAGTAGCTGGAATTACAGGCATGCGCCACCACGCGTGGCTAATTTTGTATTTTTAGTAGAGATGGGGTTTCTCCATGTTGGTCAGGCTGGTCTCGAACTCTCGACCTCAGGTGATCCACCCTCTTGGTCAGGCTGGTCTCGAACTCTCGACCTCAGGTGATCCACCCTCTTGGTCAGGCTGGTCTCGAACTCTCGACCTCAGGTGATCCACCCTCTTGGTCAGGCTGGTCTCGAACTCTCGACCTCAGGTGATCCACCCTCTTGGTCAGGCTGGTCTCGAACTCTCGACCTCAGGTGATCCACCCTCCTCGGCCTCCCAAAGTGCTGGGATTATAGGTGTGAGCCACTGCACCCGGCCCTGTTTTTAATTTTTTGAGGAATTGCCATGCAGTTTTCTGCAGCAACTACACCATGTCACATTCCCAAGAGCAGTGCACAGGGTTCCAATCTCTCCACATTTTTACCAACACTTGTTATTTTTTGTTTGTTTATTTTAAATTATAGCCATCCTAATATGTGGGAAGTTTAAAACTTAGATTTTTAAGAAATCTTCTAGAAGAGGTTGCTGATAGCATAGGCTTGTAGTCCCTTATTTGAGACCCTTGAAACCACATGTGTTTCAGAATCCATAACTTCTTAGATTTCAGAAAATGACCACAGTGAATATGCTATATATTACATCGTATCTCCAGTGGGGTCTGGGGTTGCAATCCACAATCAAACATATTAGTATTTCTGCAGCAAAATGTATTAAAATTCACACTGAGTGAGATAAATGAGGACTATAATTAACCTTGTTTCAGACGAGATGAAGTTTTGCTAACAAGCAGATTGAAGGAAAAAATGGGGGGTCTTGAATTTTGGCACTGCACATAGGGATTTACATCTACTTAGATGAGTAAAACTCTTAAGCCTGCTTAACATGAATGAATAGGTAGCTTAGAATTTGAAGAGATGTGTATTGAGTGGAGCTCATTTGTGGCAACAAACAGTACTGAAATTGCTTTCGCTTTACCCTTCTCATTGTGCCTTGAGGCAGTAGCAGTCAGGGGAAGAATCATGCACCTGAGAAGAAGCCCAGACCGGCACCCAAGCTCCCCATTTCTCCCCATTCCTCCCTTAGCTCCTACTTGGATTCATGACACCCCCACCAAGCACCACCAGGCTAACCTTCCTTGCTAGTGCCTCACTTCTCAGACCTACTGGCTTTTAAATTTCATTAAATCTTGAGAGTCATGTGACCTACTCCCCCAATATGCAGTGCCTTACATCAAAACAGCTACCAGCATTAACGTGATGATGAGAAATACTAAGCACATTCACATATCAACAGGGTCTTTCTGGAAGCATTGGTTTAACTGTCAGGAGTGATGTTGAATGTTGAGAATAGCGGGGGCTGTGGTTGGCTGCTGGGAAACTTCTGTGGGGATGGTCCTGTTTAATATCTCTCAGATGACAAGAACTGTCAATTCTACCCACAGGGCTGGATGTATCAGCCCTCTCACCCCCAAATTTCCATAGGACTCTTCTACCCTAATCGGTTCTAATGTTTGGATGTAGTCAAGGACACTCACATTTATAATATGCAGTTAGATGCAAAGAAAAATAATTCTGTAAAACTGCCAAAGATTTAGTTCCTAGCCATGCTCTTCCAGAACAGAAGGCAACCAAAATGAGGAAGCTGTGCTTGGCTGTTCATGAATGCCACCCACTTGCCCAGGGCAAGCCGCATTGGCAAACCATGACATCCCTGCTCAACTCTCCAGGTTGTCCTCACTTCTGGCTTCTCCCAAGGCTGGATCCACCAGGTAAACTTGCATCCAGCCTTGGAACATGGGCTCTCTGTGCCAAAATTCTCCTTCTATGTCTCCCAGGGATATGATGGTGCAAAAACAGGATGCTGTCATGTCAAAAAACTGTGCAAAACCCAATAAAAGGAATAACATTGTGGGCTCAAAGACATATCTATTCTTGCAGGACAGGAGTGTTATGTAAAGAAACCAAATGTGAGAGGGAAGAAATAAATGGGCTCATGAGGTCCTCATGCTGAGTGGGGCTTTCACAGACCCTTTCCGGGGGTCGCACAATGGACATCTATAGATTTAGATTCAGGACTTACCTCTGGAGTGACAAAATGACCATTTTTATTTTCAGCTATTTTAGGTTTAAGTTTTCACAATGTCTCCAAAGTCATCTTTTGAATACACCAAAAGGAGAAAAGGCTCTTGAGGATACGGATGCGCTGTTACTTGTTTTTATTGTAAGCAGCTGAGCATCAGTAGGCACAGTTAGAGGCTGGGTTTACTTGGCAGTCTCTTATTGTTCCTGGATGTTCAGACTCCCAGGGGTAGCATTCCCATGTAAGCTATTGCAGTGAGCTTCTGATAAATGACTCTCAGCTAACCATGCAGTGCACACAGCATCTGAAAGAAACAAAGCTCGCCTCTGACTCAGCATAGGTACAACTGCAGGAGTCATTTCCCAAAATGTAGAGGAGCAATGCCAGAATCGACCATCACCTCTCAGCTCTGGTGTCAGCAAAAGATGGGCTGCACCTGCTATTGTTTATTCCAATAGGCTGTAATAATTAGGTAGAGCTCACGGAGCCTGGCTCATATAATTGCCTGTCAGTAATAGTCAATCCAATGGCATATTTTAGAAGTTACATCAGGAAAACAGTCTCAGGATCAAACAGGAATTTATTTGCATATGAGATATAGTAAAAGGCAGGACAGAAGTTATGCTTTATGGCAAAAGAAAGAGATATGAGTCCACGGCTTTTAAAATTTTCTATGAGGCCATTTTTTAGAGCAGTAAATACTTAAAGCTTCATGGAAAAGAATTTACAATGCACTCTGTGTGTTTTATTATTCATTATTTAGTGAGCATTGTGAAGTCGATTTTGTTCAAGATATGGATGAAGACATGGAGCTTATTCATGGGACCTCTGATTTAAAATGAGTAAACCAATTCATACACAAACACATCAAGCATAGATTCAATACCTGAAAAATAGCTTAAATACCAAAGTTTCTCTGTGTAGTTCTTCTTTTGGAGGTTGATGGATAGAGCTTTTGGTTTCCAGAACTTGGAAAATCACTTGCAGGAAGGGAAGAATTTCAAGCATATGGATATTATGCAAGAATATGTAGATAGGAATAATAAAATAGAGGAAAAGATGTTTTTTGAGCTTTCAAGCAACAACAGTAGAGCAAGTAAAAGAATAACAGTAATGGCAATTAGGTAGGGCTGTCCCAGGCCTGTAGAGGGCCAGAGCTGGATGTCCTGATTCCCTGTCAGACCCAATCTTCATCAATCCACTGTGGCCCTGGCCCTCCAGGACCCTCTACAAGCTATATCATCTGGGCTCCCTTGCCCACCAGCTTCCAGTTGGATCAGCCAATGGGAGGCAGCAGCTGGAGGTCAAGAGGCGGGACTAAAGGGGTCAGGGCATCCTGCCCCGGTCCCCTCCCTGATAGGTCTTGGTTTGGCAGTTACTGTGTCTTTGGGTGCCTCTCTGTGGTATCAGTTCTTGTTCATTCCACTAACAACTTCTTCCCTTTATCCCCTGGGGCCCCCTCTCCTGTGGCCAGCCCCAGGGCGCTTCACCTCTCTGGGCTGGTTTCCTTTAACTTGTCCACACGTTTATAAATAGCGTCTTCTTTAAACTCTCTTTATTACCCCTTTGAGTGTGCTGTCTGTTTCTTACCAGGACACAGACAAATATAGCACCTTGGTAGGAATTAGAAAAACGCACCCAGATGGGTGCATGGGGGTTCATTATGTTATTGTCTTTACTTTAACATGTATTGAAGTTTTCTAAAATAAAAAGAGTACCAAAAAGAAAAGAATAAAGGCACGTCTTTTGGTGGATGGTGCCCTGCAGGGGTGTAGCTTGGTGACCACAGAAGTGAGGCTGGATTTCAGCACCAACTCACTCCTGCAGCTTCAAGGGGTGAGTTTGTGCAGTGCACGAAATGCCCAACCAAACCTGGCCCCCTTACAAAAGGGTGGGCAGATCCCTGAAAGCTGGGAAATATCTTGAGGAGAAAGTGAGGATAGGCCTGGGTCTTTAAGGGTATTTGGGACTTAAATGGGAAATTGCACTATGCAAGGAAAACCTGTAGGACAGGAAGGCATGGGATGGCTACAGTGAGTTGACTCTATAAGACAAGGAGGGTCCCTGGAGAGAGTATGAGAAATTAGAAGTGGGTGGAGACCCTTTGATTGCTGAGCTATAACATGTGAATTCTAGTTGATGATCCTCCAGGCAGTCTGGGGCAGTGTTTTTGCACTGGGGCTCCAGAGCTAGACTGGGAGTAAGTCATGGTTTTGCCAGCTATTAGCTCTGTGACTTTGCACATTTGCTTATTCTCACTAAGCCTCAGTTTTCTGTTTCATAAAACAAGGATAAAATACTCCCCATCTCCTAGATTTGCTGTTGGGCTGAATTTAAAGATGTGCGTCAAATGTTTTACTGCAGTGCCTGGTAGTTATTGGACATTAGCTACTATCCTCAAAAGTTTTTAAAGAGAAGGGTGATATGATGAAAGCAATATTTTTTGAAAACTAATCATACAGCATGTGCAGGATGCTCTAGAGAGGAAAGAAGGGCATTGGGGAGGTCACTTTGAGGCTACAGGGGGGTGTCTCTCCAGTGAGAGAAATGGGAAATGGGAAAATAGAAGCAAGCATAAGAAGCTCTGTGAGAAGAGGAAGAGGACTGGAAGATGGACAGATTGTGAGAGTAAGGAGTCAGAGAGGGCCCCAAGCACATTTCCAAGATCTTTAGCCTCCACTTATATAAATACCCCTAGGCAGCTTAGGCAGCTCACATTGAAGGACTGACAATTTTGACATTTTGGTACAAGGGAAAGAAATGTGAAACTCAGAATCATTTGATTTTACCCTTCTGTTTTACTGAACATTGGTAAATCTACCTAATCGAACCCAAGATTCTATTACAAAATAAAAACCCTAATAGACACCTCAATCATTCCAGTAACCACTGCTTACTTCTGAAATGTCCCCAAAGCAGGTTTTTCATATCCAGAATTTCTTCTGATTAAGATCTGAGGTAGGGCCTCTGCAGTTGAGAATGGGCATCCTCACAGAGAACTCTCTTGAATCATATGTAATTTATAAGCCCAGTTCTTACTACCAAAATTAGCAGAACTGAGGAAGGCATTGAATCCTTGACCTAAGCTAACATTTGGGATGGAGGGAGGAAAGAGTCATTAATGTTAAGTAGTGGTGATGTGGTTTGGCTGTGTCCCCTCCCAAATCCCATCTTGACTTGTAGTTCCATAATCCCCAAGTGTCATGAGAGGGAACTGGTGGGAGGTAATTGAATCATGGGGGCTGTTACCCCATGCTGCTGTTCTCATGATAGTGAGTTCTCACAACATCTGATGGTTTTATAAGGGGCATTTCCCCCTTTTACTTGGCACTTCTCTTGCCTGCCACCATGTGAGATGTGCCTTTGCTCCTCTTCCACCATGATTGTGAGGTCTCTCCAGCTATGTGGAACTGTGAATCTATTAAACCTCTTTTTCTTTCTAAATTACCCAGTCTCAGGTATGTATGTTTCAGTGTGAGAACAGACTAATACAAGTGGTTTCTTATAGGTCCCCAATTTCGCATTTATCTGTAGGCAGACCTACCTAAGAACTCAGTGCCATTTAAAAAAAAAAAAAAAACTAGTCTGAGGCTATTTTAGCCACATCTTCATCTGAAAAAATGTATTCCATGTTTTCACTATTTGGCATTTTTTTTCCAGGAACTAGATCCAGTTTTTGCCAGGTGTCTTGGCTGACTGTCAGAGACAGTCATCTGGTTTTGCATGGCAGCATCTGGTTTTACAGTTTCTGTGGCATCTCCCTGAGGTGTTCTCTCACTCTCTGCCTTGCAGATACTTGCCTGAGATCATGAATGATGGGCTCACCAACCAGATCAACAATCCCGAGGTGGATGTGGACATCACTCGGCCTGACACTTTCATCAGACAGCAGATTATGGCTCTCCGTGTGATGACCAACAAACTAAAAAACGCCTACAATGGCAATGATGTCAATTTCCAGGACACAAGTAAGAAAATCCTTCCCAGCACCAGAAATTTTCAAAGTAAAAAATGGTTTTAGAAGATGATGCCCTGACTTTCTTCAAGAGCAATATGCCCTTTTAATTTATTCTCATTCTTCCTCAGGCTGTGATTCTTGTTATAGTCTTTTGGACAGAGAGCTCTGATCCACAAAACATAGGATACGAATAAAATCATAAATTCCACAACACAAGGAATAATTGCAATGGATTACATTCAGCCATACCAAAGCTGAAATTGAGTTTCATCTACCAGTTGATTCATTAATGACAAAACAGCAAAGTAATTTTTTCACTTTCTCCTGTCCTCATCACTATTCACATCTGACCCAAACTTCTGCCCTGTTCCCACCAAAAGAAGAAAGCTCAGCAGATTGCTTAGACAAGCCTAAGCTAGAATCCCTGTCTTATTCTTTATTAATTAGAGTCTCTACAAATTACTCTACTTCTTGAGTCTCAGGTTCCTCTTCTATAGAATGGGAAGCATCCCTGCTTCAGAGGCTTTTAGAAGCCTCATTTGAGGAGCTATGATAGTGTCTGGTGGGTAGATGTAGCTGACTACATCATTTCCCTCTCTATCCAGCTATGCACATACACAACCCATAGACATTTATATCTGAAATATTGAGAGAAATTGTAAAATTCTAGTGCAATATTACACACGACTATTTCATTAAGGATCAAAGAAGCATCAAAAATTATTTGGAAGACTATTAAGTGAACATTGACATGAAACTATATATGGGTTTTGTCTGAGTAGTTTCAAGATGACTAACTACAAAAAAAGAGTTTTTTCTGTCATTGTTGCTTGTTGCTTTTTAAAAATATTACCCTTACAAAGAGAATTCCCAGGACAAGGATTCTTGAACATAAGATGTGAAGTTGCCAGTGATTCTGTAATTTGGTCACTGAATCATAAGATGATGCTTGTGTGCTTGGATTAATGAGATAGAAAGAAATAAGTTACAGATAGAAGACCTCAAGTCATTTCAGTCATAGTTATCAGCCTACCAAGTTATCCCCTGCAAAAAATTTTTGTGCTTTATTCCATTTTAAAGAACTCAAAAAAATGATTTTCTAAACACAGAATAATTACCAACCCAATGGACGTTATGGCTGTAAAATTCCTCAAAATAATCCCATTATCTCTCCTCCTTTTACTAAACCCCTCCTTTCCTCTTCAGAAGAGAACATTACACAGGTTTCAGCCATTGTTGCTTCACCCTTGTTAGCACTTAGCCTCACACCTCTCATTTTATCCATTGTCTTCTGTATTAAATAAAGTGCTCTATCATCTAGAGAGTGGCTGTTGGAATGAATAATTCAAGATACATAAGAATTAGTTGGTTTGGCTTTGTTGCTTCTCACTCCTCTCTGACCTAAAGAGGTTATGCACATATCAAGCTGCAAAGCTCAGGGAATGGCCAGGAGGCAGAGATCTTACTCCATTTCCCCTCAAAAGAAAATAAAATCAACAATTAAGAGGATCCCTGAGTTCTAACCCAAGCACCAAATGTGGCCCTCTATTTTAGGCTGGTGTCTGTCATACAAACCATTATCACATCTTATAAGCATCAGCATCCTTATTGCTTTGAACATTTTTTTAAGTTACTCATCCCACCCCTTAATATTTGCATTTGTGATTCCTTTTCAAAAAGAGATGGGGCCATTATTTTTTCCAGCCAAAATCTCCTGTCATATTTGCTTCCCACATTTTTTAATATTCTAAATCATTTTAATAATATCTCTGTAAAGGTTGTATTACTTCTTGTTCATGACACCAGTGTTCAGAACAATTCCCTTAGCAATTCTGATATCTCTGAATTTAATTAACAGGAATTTTCCCCCTTGTAAAGGCCACTAAAGGTAAATCAGAGAAAATGTTGAAAACCTAGTATAGTGTATTGAAGTGATCTTATCTGGTATTTAGATGTCCCATTAAAAAAAGAAACTGTGCTCATTCTCTAATTGTGTCTTTCTCATTCAAGAGGACATTAGAAGAGTCCCTACACTGCCCCAGATTTACTTAAGTAGCATCCAGCAGCTAAGGATGGCCCTGGTTTCTCAGGAGCAGCTCAACAGAGCATCACCACTTCGGACTAGCAGGGAGGAGTTTAGGGACATTGGTTGGAAATCATTGAGCAAGTGAGAGAAATAGCTAATGTCCTTACAAAGCTTCCAGTTTCCTGAGCCCTTCCAGGAACATCATTTCTCCTAACAGATAGATGTTATTACTCTCATTTTTACGGGTGAGGAAACGGAGCCTCAGTAAGTCTAACTGGCTTACCCTGGTGCATTTAAATAACAAATGTCAGGGTACATTCCAGGTCGCCTTTGCTGTAGGAACCATGTTTTTTCCATCAGGCATCATTGGCAGCACTGGGTTTGGTGTCCTCGAGCACTCTAGTGATTTGTCTTCACACACTCTCTCCAAGGTCAATATTGTCATCTGTATTTGTTTAAGTGAGGAAACTGCAAAAGTTGAGTAACTGCCCAAAGCACATTTATTTATTCAGCAAGTATTTGTTGAGCACTTGCTGTATGCCAGGGGCCACTGAAGACCTTAGAGGTACAGAAATGAACAGGATTTACCAAATCTCTACCCTCTCAAAGATTATGTCCTCAGTTAACATTCTTGAGAAGGAGATAAACAGTAAGCAAGTGAACAGGCACGTAAATAATACCACCTCCAAGCGGTGAAAAGTACTTTCATAAAGCTAGTAATTGGCAGCCTGATCTGGGCCAGGTTTGAGTGACAGGATTTGTCAAACAAGAAGGAATCAAGCCTTGAGAAGTGGAAATAGGGAAGAAAGCAAGTTGGGCAGGAAGGGACGATGCTACCCTGGGTCGACATACTCTGTGGGTACCAAGGCCTTGGTTTCAAGCAGAGAATGGCCAACTGTTTCTGTCAAGGGCCGTATATTAAATATGTTAATCTTTGAGGGCCACATCGTCTCTGCCACCACTACCCCACACTGCTGGTCTAACGTGATAATATGTATGTGAACGGGTAGTTGGATTCTAATAAAACTTCATATATGGATGCTGAAATGTGAATTTCACATACACTTTTTACATGTCATAAAATATTCTTCACTTGATTTTTTTCAAACACTTAAAACTATAAAAACCACCAGGTACAGAGGCACATGCCTATAGTCCCAGCTACTTAGGAGGCTAAGGCAGGAAGATCACTTAGGCCCAGGAGTTTGGGGCTGCAGTGAGTTATGATGGCGCCACTACACTCCAGCCTGGGCAACAGAGCCAGACCCTATGATTGATTGATTGATTGATAGATAGATAGATAGATAGATAGATAATAGACTTTATGGATATCTATAAAATATATACTTTTATGTAAATAAACCATTTTGGAGTTATGGACCATACAAAAGCAAGCAGCAGGTCATAGTTTGTCAACTTCTGGTTTAAAGGGACAAGCTGGCTGGGACAGAGTCCAGCCTTGCTCTCAGGAGAACACAGGTGGGGAAAAGGTGGACAAAAGTCATATTGATAGAGACCTCTCACTACTATTGCTGCTGCTCCTCTCATTTCCTATTTGTAGAACTTGTTTTCCTCTATTTTTCTTTTAAAATCCTTTAAAAAGCATGGTATCTTCCTAGAGCAATGGCTCTGAGTATAAAAAGAGCAAAGAATGGAATTTCTTAAACTTAAGTACTGGCCAGAAGAAATGTCTAAGGCCAACATGGTAGGTGTGGCCTCCCCTTGAGTCTGGGGTTCACACATTCCTTGGGTTGCATAACTCAGGTATCAGTTGATATTGTTCTTCAAACACCTATTTCTGTACAGTCCACCCACTCATCACACCACTGCCTATTAAAAACAATCCTGTTGGGTAGGGTGGGGGACCATGGATGGGGAGATTTTGCCTCCCACCACCATGCCCCATATCTGCTGAGCTCTGTTTCCACTCTTTCCTGGTTGGTTGTATTAGTCCGTTTTCATACTGCTATAAAGAACTGCCCGAGACTGGGTAATTTATAAAGGAAAGTGGTTAATTAACTCACAGTTCAGCATGGCTGGGGAGGCCTCAGGAAAATTACAATCATGGTGGAAGGCGAAGGGGAAGCAAAAGACCTTCTTCACAAGGTGACAGGAAAGAGAAGTGCCAAGCCGTGGGGGAAGAGCCCCTTAAAAAACCATCAGATCTCGTGAGAACTCACTCACTATCACGAGAACAGGATGGGGGAAACCACCACCATGATTGAATTACCTCCACATGGCCTCTCCCCTGACAGGTGGGGATTATGGGGATTACAATTCAAGATGAGATTTGGGTGGGGCCACAAAGCCTAAACATATCAGTGGTCTAACTTTCTTTTTCAATCTTTCCACACTAGGTGATGAATCCAGTGGCTCAGGGAGTGGCAGTGGGTGCATGGATGACGTGTGTCCCACGGAGTTTGAGTTTGTCACCACAGAGGCCCCCGCAGTGGATCCCGACCGGAGAGAGGTGGACTCTTCTGCAGCCCAGCGTGGCCACTCCCTGCTCTCCTGGTCTCTCACCTGCATTGTCCTGGCACTGCAGAGACTGTGCAGATAATCTTGGGTTTTTGGTCAGATGAAACTGCATTTTAGCTATCTGAATGGCCAACTCACTTCTTTTCTTACACTCTTGGACAATGGACCATGCCACAAAAACTTACCGTTTTCTATGAGAAGAGAGCAGTAATGCAATCTGCCTCCCTTTTTGTTTTCCCAAAGAGTACCGGGTGCCAGACTGAACTGCTTCCTCTTTCCTTCAGCTATCTGTGGGGACCTTGTTTATTCTAGAGAGAATTCTTACTCAAATTTTTCGTACCAGGAGATTTTCTTACCTTCATTTGCTTTTATGCTGCAGAAGTAAAGGAATCTCACGTTGTGAGGGTTTTTTTTTTCTCATTTAAAATAAAAAAGGAAGAAAGAAAATAATTTTCCTTGTAAAATCGGGCCAAACCCCAAGACAGCTACATTTTCAACAAAAAAGCAAACAGAGAAAAATAAATGAACTTTAACACTGTAAGTTCAGCATTGACAGCCAACTTCCAGTGTAAGCTTTTTTGTGACAAATCCGGGTTTAAAAATGCTTATGGGGAGAAAGCTTAAAGTTTGTTCTAAATGTAGTGAAAATGCACTGTTGTCTTGGAGGTATCATCTTGCACTCTAACCAAACAACACCAAATTAATCTGGAGGTACTGATACTAAATTTGGAATCCCGTCTTTAATATGAGAACACAAATTACTACAACTCAGTACCTCTGTCTTACTCTGCCCAATTTCAATTTAGTAATGGCACCATTATTCTTAATTCCCTTAATGTCTGTCCGCTGTATCCAATTGGCACAGATTTTCCCCTTCATCTTCAATTACTAGTAGCTACCCCCATCAATTCACCTTCCTCAAGAGTCTCAATTGAAAATAATCTTTGATGATACAATCTCTGCTTTTGCCACAGGTTTGACATTAACTAGACGTTTCTGCCCCTGTGCTCATTACCCTCCCAAAACAATAGTTTTTTTAATGAATTGAAACACAATTAGATCCATTCCTGAGTTTTCATTTTTAACTATTTACTTTGTGTCAGTTGGTTTCTGCATCACAAGGGCATTCTCTTACAAAACAACTCACAACAGAAAAAAAAAGTCAAGACAAAAAATATATATATATAGTATTGACATGGAGATTTCTTTCACTTTTTTAGTCTTAGTATGATCATCTATTTTTATATCTATGTATATATAAATCACAGATTTTAACTTCTTAATTCCAAGCTCAGGGTTGACACACCTTTGTAAGAAAATGTTTTGTCAACCAGCTCTTCTTGTTTTGTGCTGCTCAAAGAAGGGATTCCTCAGTGATCGGTGAGCACCAAGAATCAAGAAAGAGAACTTTTTATGTATCTAACTGTCCATTTATTAAAAATTTGCCAGGGCACACCCTTCTGCATGAGTGTGCTTCAGCCTGGGTGCTCCAGACTACACCAAACTCATGGGATGAGCCATTGGTGTGCAGGGCTTTACCGGTGATGGAAACTGTATGTGTAAAGAATGTTATTCATGAAAAACCATTGCTTTCATGTAAAACACCTTCGGCCTAGGATTCCTGCCTGGCACTTGGATACATTACCTAACTCAATAGGCCAGTTTAGAGCCACAGCCTAACCTGTTCACCAAGTAGGCCAAAGCCAGGCCTTTCGCTCCCCCTGACAGAGAGAAGCAAAATAAACCCAACTGGGGGCTTTATGAATACAGTTGGCTATCCATATGTTTCTTAGTTTTTATGATGCATCTGGAGTAGGGAAAAGTAATGTTTCAAGACACCATAGTAGGCCAGTTACATTTTAATTAACTCATCGACAGTATTGACACGTAAATGGTATTTTTCAATCTGTTCTCATCAAAATTAAAATTAGTTATTGATTTAGTCATCACATTTAAGTAGAACACATGTGGCACAATAGTATTAAGTATATTTGAGCACTTTTGCAAGACAGAAAGTATTTACAAGCATCTATTGCTACTTTATGCCTAATGAAATATAAAATGTAGGATGATGAGAGACTTTGTGGCATTCTTTCATTTAAACCTTTATGAAATTAACCATCTAGTTCATCATTACATACTCCTAGAAAACCATCCATTTCACTGCCCACATTTTGGCTTCCTACCACAAATTCCACATAAGACTTCTCTATGAAGGACCAGTCATTTACATTGCTCATTTCATTCTGTGTTCAGAAGTCAGTATTGTCTTTCTCCAATAATTAAGGTGCAATACAAATTAAATCAACCTTGATTTTCCAGACTATTTGAATAATAACTTGCTTTTATGGCTTTAAACTCCAGGTCTTTCCTTTTTAAAATATTTCTGCATTCTCTTTTATGAACTAGATCAGGATGCCTTGTTTTTCCTGTGCTTTCACCCCCAAAAGGTTTTGTGCATGTGTATGAATACACATAATATTAGTGAATGTGAACCCATGTTCTATACGCACTAAACACACAGTTAATATATAAACGCCTGCTTCATTTGTTTCAACACCTTCATTATCAATATGATTCATATTGATGAGATATAGTGATGCATAATGAGCCAGGCAGAGAGCTGAAATGATATCAGTTAATGATGTCACAGTGTTAGCACCCTGCATGGATGTGGTCAAAATATCATTCAAGTTGTACTTCCTAGTTTTTATCATCATACTACTATGTCATATGATTTTCAGACTAATTTAACATGAGAAATGTTTTGGCCCTAAAGGATTTCACTTAACCTAGTTACCCTATTTCAGTAAGTATTTTGGAATTCAACCCTCGAATTATTTTTTCTCATTTCAGCATAGTGATAGGGGATGCAATGAGGCTTCATTATTTTTTATGACCTGCCCCTCATTTGCTCTGATGTTCCCTAAATTCTGTAATCATATCATAACTTTTGTTATGAATAGAGAGGAATGGGCTCACTGAAACCTGACACTAGAAATTGGTGGGTGATGCTCATAACTGCAAACACTTAGCTTATTGAAGTGCCTCTATTTACATGTTCTTTAGTTATAATATGTATTTTTCTAACAGAAATACACGTCTGTAATTGGTATATATTATACTTTGTATGTGTCACAACAAAAGCTAAACAGAGGCTAAAGTCTTTAGCAGAGAAGAATGAATTACAAATTTACCAATAAGAGCTCTGTTTATGGTTCTGTATTGAAGGACAACCATGACAACCTTCTGTCATTTTCACGAAGGCCAAGTTGGTACTTTGATTATAGCCATCGTAGAACATTAGCACTAGAAATCTGTCTCCCTTACAATGACTTACCTAGCTAGCATCAAGTAACTTGTATCACCTGCTTTAAATGTAAGGGATAGAAAATACTATTTTGTCTACACTGAAAAACATTATTATTCATTGATAAGTAGTAATAATTATAAAAGTAACATTCTTTAAAGCAAACACATTGAAAATATTATTACAGGCAGAACCCTGATTTTTAATTTATATTCCCTGCTGCAGACATTAGCCTTCTTTAATTCTTTTGCCATTACATACATGTTTCGGCTACAGACTGAACACGAACTAAAGTCCCTAAGGAGGAAAAAACCTTAACATATTCCTGAGATGTGATTCTTTTATTACTTCTTTTTGCAAAGCTAATTATCAAATGATTTGATTAAACCTAGACGCATTAGGAAATGCAAGTTTTACCTAAAACTTGCAGAAATTTAAACACATTTCCATTTACTTACTAACGAACAGACCTGATTTTTATTTAAAAACACAATTTAGCTTTGCCAACAGAAGAGTAAAGGAAACCATAACTTATAAATTTGTAATGTGTTCCTCCTTGTTGGAGACATTAGCCAGTGTTTAGTTTTAGACCAACTTATACAAAGAGAGTATTGATTTGTACACATTCTGGAGACTTGCTATATCATGGTTTGCTATGGCACAGACTCAGCTTAGCATGGGGACATTTTGAACTTCATTCAAAGTTGAGTAGTTACTGGAACCTTTGACATTGCCTTGTAATGAGGTACTTCCAAAAAAAGACCCCTAACAATGGCATAATAGTGAGGTCTCTCTGTGCATATACATAATATATATGCAGGATAAATGTGTGCACCAATCAAATCTAAAATTTTATGTGACTGTCAAATGAATATTATTTGGGTTAAGATTTTTCATTTCTGATTTGGATAGAAAATTGCTATTAATCTTGTATTAAAATAGTTTTTAAAAATCTACCAGTGCCCTTTCTGCATTTTCTTAATTATTGTCATAGTCTAAATTTCAGAGCCATGGAATTTTTTGTGTTTGAGACATTTTTAGAAGCTTCAATATTAAAAAACAACAACAAACCTCGTATATTAAAACAGTGCCACTCTCCTAAGTACACTCAGCATCTGAAATCAGGAACTATTTGAACTTTAGAACATTTAGAGCTTCCCAAATGTGTATGGAAAATACTGTAGCGCTGTTCTTTTGTACTGATTTCTTCTCAGAGGATAAATTTAGTGACTTGAAAACTGATGTCAATACTTTATAAATGAGGTCAGAAAATAAGATCAAATGTGAAAAGACTAATAATTTCCCAATTTAGCCAATTGCATTGATTTTTATACTTCTGAAATGTTTCCATCCTCTCAGGCATGCTAAATATTGTATAACCTGCTAAAGATTTATTTCACAAATGCTTATTGAACTCTTATTCTCTATAAACCCTGCTCTAGGGGATTTATCACTGGCTGTGAAAAACCACCAGTTGAAAATTATTCATTCCTTAATGCAGCTAATCATAATTATTACAGATAAATAATGTATTTCAAGAATGATCTTATAAATAAAGGAACCCATACAAACAAAGGTACCAAGAATACAGCATTTAACTGTAAGAAATACTGTGATTTAGCTCACATTATTACTATTTTGGTTTTTATTGAGAAAAGTGACTATTACAAAACAATTAAGGAATGTTAGAATAATTCCATCTATAAGATCAAAATATAACAAATTTTATTTGGAAGCAACAGAAACCAATTTATTGGGCAGGAAAAACATCCAAGTGTTTTTCATCCAAATGAAACCAGACACTTTTATCAGGTAACAACAATATTTATTTTAATTTGCTCTTTGGATAAGTGGACAGGGATATAGTTAAAGTATATGCACAAATGTGGTAACAGAATTACATTGATTTAAAAAATCCAACTTGTAAAACAGTGGCAATGAGGGATAAAGTGTTTTTGTATCTTGAGAGCTAGAAACATGCAGGCACAAATTTAAGTCTGTTTAAATAGACGTTGACAACTGACTTAGTGCAGACACATTTCCATTCCATAGACATATTTCTTTGCTGGTGTAAACATGTGGCCAAACATATTTTGCTGGCTCATAAATAGGGCATGCAACAAAGCCAGGAGGAATTAGATGCCTGCCTTTATAGCCTGCTTAAGGAGCGCAAGCTCATGTATACCTTGAAGCATAAAGCAAAACGAGAAATTGGGAAAATGGGACTTTTACCCTGTGAATGCTCAAGTTTGGAGAGAAGGTGAAAGAAGGATTACAAACTGGATTCAAGAGAGCAGAAGAATATTTACCTTGACTAAAGCCACCTTCCCTTTAATAAGAACAAGCATCTGTGGATTTTTTTAATTAAAACAAAATTACTGACCTCAGCAATTATTCACTTTTTCAAAAGATATATAATGAGAAATCATCCCATGCCAAACAGTTCTGGGTGCAAGAGCAAGACACTAAAATTTCCGCCCTCTCCCTTTAGTGAGGAAGAGACAGACAACATGTAAGCCAATAAATGAACACGAAGATTCAGAAAGTGAAAGGCGCCATGAAGGAATGAAACAGGAAATGGGATAGCGACCAGGAAGGAAACTCTCCTTTAGGTTAGTGGTCCAGGAGAGCCTGGGGTGATGGAGCTGTGATGAATGACAGGGAAAGAGACAACCATGAGCAGAGCCGGGGATAGAAATTTCCAAGCAGAGAAAGTGCAAATGCAGAGATCTCAGTTCAGGAATGACCTGTACTTCAGCGTGACTGCAGTGAGGTGCTGAGCGGTGAGATGACTGAAGAGCTGACTTTGGGAATTATCCACTTTTTTTCAAAAGATAGATAATGAGAAATTATCGCATGCCAAACATGGTCCTGGGTGCAAGAGCAAGACGCTAAAATTGGGGCAGCCATGTTAAGCCTAATGGCCAAAGCTATGGTCTTATCCCCTGGTGAAGCCAGAACCCTCGTGGGACACAGCAGCCCTGCTGGTCGCACTCACTAACATTTTTTTTTTGCGGGGGGTGGGTGGGGCAGACGGAGTCTCGTTCTGCTGGAGTCTCTCGCTCTGTCGCCCAGGCTGGAGTGCAGTGGCGCCATCTTGGCTCACTGCAACCTCCGTCTCTGGGGTTCAAGCGATTCTCCTGCCTCTCAGCCTCCCGAATAGCTGGGATTACGGGCGCCTGCCACCACGCCCGGCTAATTTTTTGTATTTTTAGTAGAGACGGAGTTTCACCATGTTGGCCAGGCTGGTCTCGAATTCCTGTCGTCGTGATCCGCCCGCCTCAACCTCCCAAAGTGCTGGGATTACAGGCGTGAGCCACCATGCCCAGCCATATTTCATCTTTATAGCATCTCTATGATATAAACATAATAATGCCCATTTTATACTGAATAAAATGAGACACAGTGAAATTAATAACTCACCCAATCACACTAAGAAGGTCATGATATGAACCCTGATCTGTAAGAACTGGACAGAAAAATGAAGGTATTAATATATAAGTTTGTTTTTGTTGTTACAAATTCAATTATCCAAGCGTGCTCTGAGTATTGACAACAATTGTGCAAATTGGCAACAAGTGTGAAAACAGGAATCCACAGATTTCTATCAGCATAAAGGATATATGTGAAATTTTAATTCTGAGATGGAGTTGCTTCGTGTCTTAAATTTTTTTCAAAATTAAAATCCTAAGTAAATAAATGACTGGGGACTCTGGGTTCTTATTATGTAGTTTTGAACTTGCAGCCACCTTGAAACAAAGCATGATCCCTAAGACAGAAACACGCATCAAGCCTGCTTCCCCTTGTTTGTCAACTCGGCTTAGACACCATATTCACAGGAAGCAAATTAGATATCAAATTCACAGGGCTTAGCCCAACTCCCAGTGACTCTCCCGTATATTAGCCGTCTGTAATTTAACTCTTCTGATGGTCAAGTGGACCTAAAATATAAATCAAAACAGCTCAACAATTACCCAACTCAGATAACTAGTTTGGCAGCTTTGAAAACTACACTGACTGTTAAAACATCTTATAAAGTACCGTAACATTGAACATCCAGCCCAATCAAAGTCCTAGCGAGGGCTTTCTTAGTTAAAATAAAGACTGCAGCATAGGGACCCCCTGTGCCTTTCATATTCCTGGAGTTAAAGCTACTTTCATTGTTGGTTTCTACCTCATGCTTGCTTAAAAGGCGTGGGTCATTGCCATCCTTACCTGAGAGAATCAGGGGTATTGAGCACAGGTTGTGTCCTTCTTAAAAAGGTTCTCTAGGCCGGGTGCGGTGGCTCACACCTGTAATCACAGCACTTTGGGAGGCCCGGGGGTGGGGGGGGGGGGGGCTGATCACAAGGTCAGAAGTTCAAGACTAGCCTGGCCAATATGGTGAAACCCCGTCTTTACTAAAAATATAAAAATTAGCTGGGCATGGTGGCGGGTGCCTGAAGTCCCAGCTACTCGGGAGGCTGAGGCAGGAAAATTGCTTGAACACAGGAGGCAGAGGTTGCAGTGAGTCAAGATCATACCACTGCACTCCAGCCTGGGTGACAGAGTGAGACTCCATCTAAAAAAAAAAAAAAAAAAAAAGTTCCTCTAGATGAGGAGTCCTCAACCTTTTTGACACCAGGGACCAGTTTCATGGAAGACAATCTTTCCATGAACTAGGATTAGAGAGGTAATGGTTTCAGGATGATTCAAGTGCATTACATTTATTGTGCACTTTCTTTCTATTATTATTACATTATAATATATAATGAAATAATTATACAACTCACCATAATGCAGAATCTGGGAGCCCTGAGCTTGTTTTCCTGCAAGGAGACAGTCCTATCTGGGGGTGATGAGAGACAGTGACAGATCATCAGGCATTAGATTCTTATAAGGTGTGTGCAACCTAAATCCCTCACTTGTGCACTTCACAATAGGGTTTGTGCTTCTGTGAGAATCTAATGCCACCGCTGATCTGACAGAAGGCAGAGCTCAGGTGGCAATGTTCGCCCACCTGCCACTCACCTCCTGCTGTGCGGCCGGTTCCTAACGGGCCACGGACCAGTACCAGTCTGTGGCCAGTGGGTTGAGGACCCCTGCTCTAGACATTTCATAAAGGTGATGATCACGTTAGGGAAAGGTTTGTTACAAAGCTCTGTTTATTTCTGTTTCTTGATAAAACATGCCTTATATTTACATAAAGCATTTCATCCTAAAGGGAGCTTTCAAATCATTTTCTTTCATAATCTTCACTACATCTCCATGAAGTAGGCAGGAGCTACTGACCCTGTGGTACAGATCAGAGAAGCTACACGGTGGAGCCGAGATCTTCTCACCTTATTTTTGTCTCTTCTCTCCTTTTCTTCTTCTTCTCTCCCTTAACCCCAGCTCACCCAAACTGTAAGGACTTGAATGTAAATCATTCTTGTTCCTACCAACCTCTTACTAGGTTATGGAACCAGCCCAGTAGTTCAGCTGCAGGGACCCAGCCACTAGTTCTCAAGCTGAGCCTGGTAGAACGATACCCCAACAGTCTTCTGATTCATCTCCACTTCTGAATCATATGTTGTGAGCTATTATATACTGAGTTTCCGTGTGTGAAAAAAACTAGAAGTCCCAAAATTATATTAAGCCCAAGAAATTTCACTCAAACAGTTTTATGAAAATCCTGTTAGTGACACAGGAATGATTGTATTGGTTTTTGTTTGTTTGAACTATTGCATATGAATTAGTGCACGAAGGCTATTTTTATACAGCTGAAGGTTCTGTGATTGTGCTTGTGTTTGAACTTAAGGGTTTTTTTTAATGGAAAAGGAAAAACTTTACGTTGAGTAATGCATTATTGGACAGAGAGCATGAGCCAGGAGAAATCGGCAAGCAAAAGGGCTTTCTGTAGGGAAGAACAGAGATTTCCTCCACATCTGAAATATTCCTTCCCCTGGGGCAAGCCTTTGATCTTTCCCCTGTTTGTACCTCATGAACAAGGAGGGAGTGCCATAGAATGGCACGGGGGTGGGGGAGCAAAATTTAAAAAGAGGGAAAAACCAAAATCCAGTACTACTGACACATGTGATAAGTTTCCTATATATTCATTTGACCATTTCTGAACCTCTACTATAAAAGTCTCCTGTCATAGAAAGGGAAGGTTCTCTACAAATAATATAAAATAACGGTACTTAATGAAAAACTTAAAAAGAAATCACATAGGAACTCTGGTGTGTTGAATGAATACTCTTCTTCACTCACCATATGTAAATAAAAAGTCCATATGTCCCAAATTGTCTCAGACAGTCCCCATTATGTCTGTTGTCCTAGTATTATTATTAACAGCACCCTTTCACTCTCCATGCTGTCCTTCACTTGAATGGTAAATTCTATGGTCACCCTAGGTATAAATCATGGCTATTCACATGATCAATTTACACTCTAATGTATATGACACCTAATAATTTTTCAAAACACCCACCCAGCTGACGAAAGTAACGGGTAATGTTATTCACCAGTGACTTTCCTATTTAAATCTCCCTACCTACTTGTTATATTGAAAGACATCTGGAATCAGAATCAGGAATCCAAAAACAACTTAGACATTGCCAAGTATGCTAGATAATCCCAGTTCACAAATGCCCAGCTCTAAACGCCAGCATGCTTTCATCTCAAAATAAGCCACACTTGAAACTTGATCCCAGGTGGTTGACCCCTTCTCCTTTTCAGCAATTTTGCTGGATATGTCAGTGAACAAAACCACTGAAAATGGGTGCCACCCTAGAAGTTGTATTTTGGTTCCATTTGCTGCTGCTAGAGGGTTGTAATTTGAGGCTTGTTTTCTTTACCTGCCAATCTTAGCAGTCCCACAACAACTTCAGCTAAATTGTTCTAAGTTGTTGATAAGTTGAAAATGCTCTGCTAACATTTTCTTTTGGTTTTGACTCACATCTATGATCAATTGCTTGAGCCCTGTTTCTGGGTTGGCCATCCATACCACAGGACACATGATATTCACATCAAGTAGTACCAATAATTTATTTACATTTAATTGCACTAAATGTAACCCCACCCCTTTCTCTCCCACTCAGATGAGCATACCAGAATGCAAGGAAGTGATGGGTATGAAATTGCCATAAAACTCATAATGAATCCACTCAAACTTACAGAAAATCATTCACATATTTTACTAATTCAGTTATAAACTACTTGCAATACTTTCCAATTGATTCCTACAGTGGATTTATGAGATCTTTGTGCTGTTCCACTTAACATGTGAGAGGATGTGTTCCAAAGAGAACAAAGTGTGATATAAAAAGTGCCACCTACTGATACCCAACATATTAAAAGGTACCTCTTAGATTGACAGCTACTGGAATAAAGGAACTTACCCTTTGATTAAATCACTCAGCCCTTCAAAGGATACTCCAGGCTTGCTTTTGCAAGATTACCTATTCCTAAAGTTATTCTTTAAAGATCAGTTGGGCACAAATGTGTACACTTGTATTGTCTACAGGGTAGAGACAAAGATTTCTACTAGAATTTAAAATATTACCCCAAACTTTTAAAATCTAGCCAAAGATCTAAATGCAATTCATTTATTATTGTGCACTGTACTATGATATATGTTTGGAAAGATATATAATTGATCAAGACATACTCTGTCTGCTCAAGGAGAAAATAACACCACCTACCAAAAAGTAATAACAAAAGCAACACTAGTAATAAGAAATGCCTAGGAACTGTTCTAAGCCCTTGCCATGTATTAATTCATCTTATTCTAAAAATAAAACATTCTAAAAAAAAAAGTAGGTACTATTGTTGTCCTAAGTAGACAGATAAGGAAATTGAAGCACAGATAAGTTAAATGACTACCTCAAGGTCCCATACAGCTAGAAATTAGCAGATAGAAAAATGCTGACATCGCCAAAGCTGAATATACACTATGGCTACCTGAAAAGGTGCACAGTGTTTGGAATGAAGAGAGATAAGTATTCCCTGCTCTGCAGTAGCATAAAGGAAGGAGAGAGGTTACCTTTTGGAAATAATGATCTAGTGTGGGCTCCAATGCAAAACAAAGTGCATGAAAAATAGTCAATGATCATCTCATTTTTATACATGCTGTTACTCTGTCAAGATTTTTTAAATTGTGTTTCCTCTGTGTACCCTGGGGTCTGGGGAGAATGCATAGCCCTGACAGGATATACATAAAGCCATATGTACATGCACATAAATATACACAGGTTAGAATAATTGATCAAGTGGAGACCTGGTTCCCATCCCCACTCCATACTCCAAAGGAACAAACTCGGCAAAATATTGAGTAGCAAAGTTCTTGTTCAATCTTAAGGTCCTGATAATATTAAGACAAACCACAGTGGCTTTGTGCTGACTGTTTATGAGATCATCTAACCTCTTGACTGAATTATAGCTTACAATCATACTCTCTCTGCTTATTACCCTGTGTACAACGCTCCATTATCTGCAGAACTGTCAGAAAATACCTTCCCAGCTGCTGAATTACCCTAATCACAATTTTTTTTCTTACCCAGCCCTGCTCTGGGCTGTGAGGCTCCGGGAAGGAGCAGAGGGGAGTGGAGAGTTCTGATGTTCCAGTGACAATGAGAAGGTGCTTGACATTTCCTCCACACTCTCAGCCAGCACGGTTGCCACTCACTCTCCACTTTGCCCCAAGCCTTTATTAACCCAGTATGGAATATGGCAATTTCCTAAGTCATGGTCATTAAAGTAAATACCATTTCTCCCCATAAGGCTCCCTTTAGCTGCTGTGTTCTTCGTGCTTCTTTAGCTCATGATATTTCATGCCAAATATTTTAGAGACAGTGTTCAGAAATTACCAAGCAGCTAGACTGTGAAACGTGATGTTCCCATCCATCGGGAAAAGGAGTCAGACCGCAGGGATGTTGTGTTTTGTATTTGCTTTACATTCATTATACGTTTCTTGCTGAGCCTGCTTTTCCACAAATATTGAAAACTGAGCTGACTAATGACTCTCTATTAACACCAACTCATGTTGGTGATCATGCATCTTTGGGAAGTACTTAATAAATACTATTAAAAGATTTTGCTTTACAGCGATGGCAATCATACCAGATGTGATATTGTGTTGTTAGACAAAGGCAATCTTGAAAAGCTTTCAAGGTAACATTTAAAAAGTAATCCTTTATTAGGTTGCCTAGCAAGATGCCCCATAAGTACTTAAAACCCGTAAGACGGTTGAGCTCAGATAAAGAATGCGTTACCAGATGGAGACAGTAATTACCCTGTCCCCGAACTCTAATTGTATTTACCCTGCCTTTTGCCTACGAAGTTGACAATACAATATCTGGCTTTTCAACTGGAGCACACCATTTCATATTTCCTGCTGGTACACATATATTAATGAATGGGTGCTTTCATTAACAAAAGTGTAAGACAAGAATATTTCAGTCATGCTGTTACACCTACTGCCTGATATAGATCATAAAGGACAAGAATAAAATTTAATTTGCAATAACTCTTTGGAGCTACAGTAATAGCTGCCCAGGAGTTCTTTGTCAGAGCATCTTGGCTTTTCATTAAGTACTCAGCCACTAAATTTTTTTCAATTCTGGCAGAAGCAGCCAGGGAACACTTTGGGAGCTCTATAAAAGGCACTCTCCTAATCTTCAAATCATTGGAAAGACTCTTTAGCATCTGTTAAAATATTTTTCCCTTCTAATCTGCCTGAAACTAACAGGGAGAAAATTCTGAGATGTTTCTTAATTAAGCAGTAAGAAATGGTGACGGGTGGTCTGCACTGACTTAATCACAGTTGTAAAGCATGAAAAAGGAAAAAGAGTTAAGTACCCCTAAATCCTCAGGCATCTGACTTCCCCAAGAATGTGCCTTATTGCTATTAGTAAGAAGTCTTTCCTCAGTTTGAATGAGGGAGATCCAAATGATGTGAAAAAAAAAAACTCAAACTCAAGAAAGAGTGAAGGCTGTGAGTGATGTAGGAAAAAACAAAAAACAAAACAAAAAAAAACACCCAGCAAAGCAAATTTCTACCTTTGGCAAGAGGGGAGGAAAGAGTGATGAAGGCGCCAGTCCTAGGGCAAAGGGCTCTTGCTTCTGTGCAGTTATTACTTAGCCTAGTAGCTTCTGAGTGTGGCCTGCAGGACTGCCTCCTTGACCAAGCAGGTAATGCAATTGCAGCAACTGCAAAGTATGAGGCAACAAGGAAGGTGCTGGCTGCAACTAAGCAGCATGAGCTAGCGCCACCTAAAGGGATTCCTGTGCAATTCCAAGGCATTCATTCCGCACACAGCTGGTAAAGACAGGTCTGAGAGCAAAAATCTCCTTCCCCAAAACCAGTTTGTAACCCCTTTCTTAAAATCACCGTGAATGTGAGAATCTAAACCCTTAACCTACTTGCTAATCCCCATTTTCAAACTAGGACTTAGAGTCCCTACAAACTACTTACTAGCAAATCCTGAGAGCTTACCAGATAAGCATCTCAGGTAAACATTCTATCTATTCAGACCATTGACCCAGGAGATTTTTCCTGCTGCGTTTATTAAAACCCAAGACGAAAAGCAAGAATTAATTCTGGAATAGTCTTTTACACCGTTGATACACTTCTCACATCTGTGAAAATTTTATCCATGTCTCAGTTTGCATAATTGTATTGAATGATCTGTTAAGAACTGTTATAACAGCAAAAACAACAAAAAAATGCTCATTTGTTCTGCCATAATAATTGTCTATTTTATCTGAAGATGGTCAGAATATGCCACCCCAAAATATGCCACTTTCACATAAGAATTATTTTGAGCTGAAGACAATTGAGAAATACCAGACATAAGAGGAATTCTCCCTCCTCCCCATTTTTGCCTAAAAGTAGGGCATAAATTTCCCATTGTAAAGTTGACACAAATTTTTATTTGTAAAGGTGTTCACATCTTCCTTACTAGAAAGAGGAGAGAGCTGTTATTTGCATAACAATCTTACCAAACAACTCTTATCTACTATATATTTTTAGTCACCTTCCCACAACTTACCTCCCCTAGGAGCCCCAATCCCCCTTTCCTTTATCTAGGTCTCCAGAATTTATCACCCTCTGTTAGGATGGTATATAAGCTATCAATTCTAACCAGCCCTCTGAGTTACTCATCAGTGAGTTCTCCCTCATGTCCTACATATACCATGTGTAAATAGGCTCTGGTTTTTTTTCTTCTTTTAACCTGTATTTTATCAGTTTAATTCATAGGCCTGGCACTAAACCTAAGATGATAGAGGAAAAGTTTTTAGCCCCTTACCTATTCTTATAAGAATTATATGAAATAAGTATGCCATACTACCAACTCACTTCATGTTATTTATCATTTCATTTTCCTCCACAAAGAGGCCAAAATCTGGTGGTTTGAAAGACCTCATTAAGTATAGGAATTAAATATAGTACTGGTGTTTTTGTAATTCATTACTTGCAGATTTCATACTTGCTAGTTCACCTACTCATTAAAATTCATTTTCATAGTGATTTGCAGACATGCATATGCACAGAGCAGTGACAAATTTAACTCATCTGATGCCCACATTCTAGCTGAGGTTCAACAAGGTGATGCTCTGCCTTCTCATTTCAACTCTCATACTAAAACTAGTGTTCTTTTCACAGTCTATTTAGTGCCATCTTTTTCTCAGTTTTGTGCTTTCTGTTGATTTTGCTGTTTACAATGTCCCCCACCAAATGTGGTGCTGAAGTGCTGTGTAGTGTTCCTAAAGCTGAGGAGTTCTTGAGGTGTCTTACAGAGAAAATGCATGTGTTAGATAAGCTTCGTTCAGGCATGTTACAGTGTTTGTGGTGGCAAGTTGAAAGTTAATTAATCAATAATGTAAATTATATATATTAAATAAGATGTCTTTAAACAGAAACACAATTAAATAGTTATATGTTTATCAGTTGATTAAAATGTTATGACCAGAGGCTTGTAGGAACCCTGTATTTCCCCCTAGGGGCAATGACTCAGTCTTCACTACAATTATAGAGCATAACTTCCATAAATAATGAGAATCAACTGTCATCAGAATTGTTTGTTTCATGTGCTTCCCTACTCAGTTGACTCTAACCAAAACTGATAACAGTTGCAATAGTCTTGATGTTAAGTCACATCCATTTTAATGGAGATGTCTTCTCTGGTTTTCTCTTTAGCATCTTATAGCTTTTTTTAACAAGTCTTTTGATCTCAACCACAACTAGACCTCTCTAACACAATGTTTCCCTCTATATATGTGGCTCTCTGATGTCAATGGATGATTTGACCAGCTTTGGTCCTGCTCATAACCCTGAGGACTGAGAAAATTAATATCTTGGTGTGCCTTTAACTGTGTTCTAAGGAGTGAGAGGTAGTGACATGAGCTATATCCAAAGGAATACTTGGAAGCCTTCTTCTAGACTTTTGATGGCCTGGGAATTCCACTGATGTCACATATGCCTTTGTAGAATAGAGGGGATTTAACTCCGATCTCAGTCAGCACCCCCAGCAGGCATAGCTACATAATTTACCAGGCCCACTGAAAATGAAAACATGGGATGCCTTATGTAGGAAAAAAGTACAGTTATAGTCGCTAAAATATAAACCTTTTTCCTTTCTCTATGGTCTCTCTTCCTTAATTTGCCATGCCACTTTTTTTTTAACTTGCTATTTAATGCTGTTCTAAGAAAATTAAAATATTAGCACACACTTTACCGTTCATTTTTTAATCGAGCACTGCCAGTTTTAAATGAAAATATATGTGCATTTAACAGAAATCCCTGAAATTACACAATCTGTATTTCATAGTTTGTACATGCGTATGTATTTTGTTCTTATCAAAGCAGTGAAAACACTGCACAAAACTCAAGAGTTTTTATTTCATTTCTTGATACTCACAGATTCTACCAACATGCTCTATCTTTAGCCTACTGAACAGGAAGGAAGAAGTGAAAGGAAAAATAACTATGGGTTTTTCTATTTTTTTCTTTTCTTTTTATGTCATTTTCAGGGTAAGTGGTTGACTAATACGGAAGTAATACAAGTGAGGAAATATATGATAAGTTTCCTTAGTCATTTGTCTTACTTAGAATTGCCTTCTTATTGCATTTGAAGCAAATTCTCATTCAAATGGAAACATGGTCCCTCTGTGTGTCAGCACCCCTGCTTAGTCATAGCTGTGATGTGTTTACTAATACTAACTATGAGTCTCACTGAACTCCCACACATCATAGGTTCCCTGGAGTTTTGTACTCATGGGACATTACAAATGCTGCAAGTGAAAGAGGTGACAAGGAACAGCAGACATGTATATTTTGCACCTATCTTCTGCTCACATACATGTTGCATTGTCCCATCATATTTTATATACAAAGTACAAGTTCAAAGATAAAATTATCAAGAATTTCAAGATAATGACAATGGAGCATTGAAGCAAGCCCAGGGCCCTTCTGAGCATGAGACCCTGTGAAACTGTACAAGTAACACACCAATGAAGCTGGCCCTGGTACCCAGCTCAGGCTGGGCCATGCATCTGGAACCCATGTGTGGCTTCTAGAATTACTTATGGAAAACACTCACTAACCTAGAAAGGGTAATCTTGAAACAAGGAACTACTTCCAGGAGAATAATAAGCCGTTGCAACAGTGAATGTGGTCATTCAGCCTGGATTGGTCCCAGTTATCAAAAAGGAAGCTATGGACCTAGAACTAGCTGAGCAAATTGCAGGAAGTCATTTAAAAAGGCACTGAGATGATCTCATGTTAAAAAAAAAAAAAAAAGGAAGAAAGAAATCTGAAATCTGGATCTGAGTGAGATGCCACACAGATCAGCTCAGCTCTGAAAAATACATACACCTTTAGAAAGAGATGAACATCAGCAGGTGTTTCAAAATCAATGGTGCCTGTAGGGAATGATTTGAAGAAAAGAGAGGATTTCCAGCGTATAAAGTGAAAAACTGCTCAAAGCAGAAAGATTGAAGTTGGGTCAGGGTGATAAACATAACAAGGGAAGGAGGAAGGAAAAGAGCCTGTTTTAGAAGCAGCCACACAAGTACCTTTGACAATGAGGGAGGATAGGGGATTTCATGTGAGGTGCCGTTATTTGAACTCTGTAGGTGAGAATGAGAGTTTAAACTTGAGAAAATGAGAGGAAGCAATTTCCAGAAACTGTGAGTGCAGGTAGTGAGAGGAGAAAAACCAAAGGGAGGATAATGCTGGCGGAAGGCTCTGAAAGGTGGATGGAAGGAAGAGTAAGAAAGCAGAGGCCAGACATGGTTATTAATTGATGGTTTGGCTTTGCAGATTTGATTGTCCTTCCAAAATCATTTGTGCTTTTTAAATTTGAAATGGATTGCTATATATAGTTGTGTCTTGTGGCAAACAGACTCTAAGGTGGTCCCTATGGTTCCTGCCTCCAGTTTCATGCCCCTGTGTGGTCCCTTCCACTTGAATGTGCATGGCACCTTTCACTTACTTCTAACTGTATTAGTCCTTTCTCACACTGCTATGAAGAAGTACTTGAGACTGGGTAATTTACAAAGAAAAGAAGTTTAATTGACTCACAGTTCTGCATGGCTGGGGAGCCCTCAGGAAACTTATAATCATGGTGGAACGCACCTCTTCACAGGGTGGCAGGACAGAGAATGAGTGCAAGCAGAGGAATGTCAGATGCTTATAAAACCATCAGATCTCATGAGACTCACTCATTATCACTAGAACAGTATGGGGAAAACTGTTCCCATGATGCAATTGCCTTCATCTGATCCCACCCTTGACATGAGGCTATTGTGGACATTATAATTCCAGGTGAGATTTGGGTGGGGACACAGAGCCAAAACATATCAGGGAAGAATTCCTCAAGTGAAACCATATCACTAACCAACAGAAAATAGCAAAGGTAAAAGCAAGTACATGAGGTGTGTGAATTATGAAATTATGTTATATAAGACTGTGATACTTATCTTGCCAAAAGTTTCTCCCCCTTGCTAGCTTTAAAGAAACAAGCAAAAATGTTGGTAAGGCCCAGTAGCATCCAGATGACAAACAGCAAGTAACTGAGGCCTTCAGTCAAACAGGCCACTGGAACTGAATGCTGCCAATAACCATGTGAGCTGGGAAGCAGACCCTTCCCCAGTCCAGCCTCTGATGAGACATCAGCCCTGGCTGCTGCCTTCATTGCAGCCTTGTGAGACCCTGAGCAGAAAATCCAGCTATTCTGTGCCTGGATTCCAGACCCACAGAAACTGTGAGATAATAAATGTTTGTTGTTTTGCACCTTCAAGTTTGTGTCCATTTGTTACACAGCATCAATAATCAATACATGTGTACAGTACTTTATAAAGTTCAAGTTGACTTTTGGGTCATTTAACTTTCCTCCCCATTTTACCTTTTCTTCAAACCCTGCTTTCTTTCCCTGAAGGCATATAAAGTCCTAAATCAAGAGTCTAGTAAGAACCCACCACATCTTTCATTAATGCTTGAAACATAATCATAATATCTTTCAGAATTTTTTAAAAAATTATATGATAGTGTATGAAGGGGAAGGAGAGGTTCTGTTAAATATTTTCAGGGGCAAAATGGAGGAGACGACTCATTTCTATATATAGATTGAGTAACCCTTATTCAAAATGCTTGGGGTCAGGAGCCAGGGCTCACACCTGTAATTCCAACATTCTGGGAGGTTGAGGCAGGAGGATGACTTGAACTCAGGAGTTCAAAACCAGCCTGGGCAACATAGCAAGACCTCATATCTAGTAAAAATAAAAAAAAAATAGCTGGGCATGGTGGTGCATGCCTGTAGTCCCAGCTACTCAGGAGGCTGAGGTGGGAGGATCGCTTGGGCACAAAAAGTTGAGGCTGCAATGAGCCATGATTGCACCACTGCACTCTAGGCTGGGTGACAGAGTGAGACCCTGTCACAAAAAAAGAAAAAAAAGAAGAAAAGAAAAAAAGGTTGGGACAAGAAGTGTTTCGGATTTCAGATTTTTTCTAATTTTGGAAAACTTGCATATACATAATGAGATAGCTCATGGCGGGGACCTAAGTCTAAACATGATATTCATTTATATTTCATAGACACCTTAAACACATAGTCTGTATGTCCAATAATAATTTCATACAATATGTTTAATATTTTTGTACACGAAACAAAGTTTGTGTACACTGAACCATTTTACCACCATTTGTGGGTGTGCTTGCATAGGAGAATCTGGGTATGTTCAGAAAAGATATATTGCAGCCGAAGGGGGATGGGAGGGTCTTTTTCCTTGGCGTTGCTAAACAAACTATGTGTTGTGCATCTGCATTTTGGTTGCAACCTGTCACACGAGGTCAGGTGTGGAATTGTCCACTGGTAGCATCATGTCGGCACTCAAAAGTTTTCAGATTTTGGAGTATTTCAGATTTGGGATTTTTAGATTTGGGATGCTCAACCTGTTTAAAGCATTCAAGTTGTGTAGTGCCTTTATACCTTAAGAATATTGTTTCTGTTTTCACACCAGGACTAATGAAATTCTCATAACTGAGGGCTAAACAGTAGAGACTGTCCTTTGTTCAAAAGTAATATAAGAGTTCCCAAAAGCTAAGGAGAACTAAGGTTACTTTTGATCTCATGCTTTTCCCTACACTCCTTGAAGCCAAGGCTAGCAAGACCTCGTCTCTACTAAAAATTAAAAAATTAGCTGGGCATGCTGGTATGTGCCCAGCTAATAATATTATTACATATTAAAACCACTTTTGGTAATCCAAGCACTTTGGGAGGCTGAGGTAGGAGGATCACGAGGTCAGGAGACCGAGACCATCCTGGATAACACGGTGAAACCCCGTCTCTACTAAAAATACAAAAAATTAGCCAGGCGTGGTGGCAGGCACCTGTAGTCCCCACTACTCAGGAGGCTGAGGCAGGAGAATGGCGTGAACCTGGGAGGTGGAGCTTGCAGCGAGTCGAGTTTGTGCCACTGCACTCCAGCCTAGGCGACAGAGCGAGACTCGGTCTCAAAAAAAAGAAAAAAAAAAACAAAAACAAAAAAAAACACTTTTGTTTTCCCACTCTCTGAATCCAAAAACAAGCAAAAACACTTTACTCCATCTTTGTGGTTTTTTTGGTTCACAATAAATTACCAAACCATGAATGAAGAGACTGCCCAAAGTTATCAGTGTTCCAAATGACATAATGACATGACCAACTATATGTTATGTGCAAGAAATTTCCCTACCAATGAGTGTATGCGCTTCCCGGAAGGAGGCTCTACTGTTGATTATAGAAGGCGATGCAATCCTAGGTTTAATTTAGCTGCTAAGAAACTCAGAGCTAGATTCAGTGTCCAACTCTGTAACTAAACTGTGCTAGGAACAAAGTATTATTGATTCTTGTGTTCCTTCTGCTTTGTTGTTGTCCTTTTGGTGTTTTTAATTGTTCTCTGTTTTCCATTTTATTTACCTTTGTCAGCCAAAGCTTCTGAGGATAAGTAAGGCAAAAATTGCATGGAAACAAAATGGTCCTCCATTCCTTTTTATCATCAAAAAACATAAATTTCAGATTCACAAACATTAGTTCAGATTCAGTGAATGATCACTGAACCCCTTCTACATGCCAGCAACTTTTTAAATGTTTTCATACATGTTATTAAGTCAATCCTTGCTTAGAAAAGGAATTTAGTCTCAGATCTCTGCCTTTTAGTTCAGTGTTCTGTGTTCTTTCTGTTGTATTACGGAGTTTCTCCTTGTAAGCTTGACAGGGTCTTCAAGATCATTTAATCCCAACACCTCCTTCCCCAATTTTACAGATGGACAAAATAAAGCACTGAGAGGTCACCTTGCCTCACCTTGCTTACCCAAGATCAGCTGCTAGCCAATGGAAAACTTGGGATTAAATGTCCCCAGTCTCCTGTCTCTGGGCCCACAATGTTGGCTCTCCCCAAGCTCTTTGTCTTTCCCTCCTCCTTGCCATTTAATCCTTTCCATTTTCCTGACATCCAGGACCATGTTGTTGATTTCATTACCTCTATCTCAACAATTTGGTGATCACTTCTGGCAGATGAGTTTGCAAACTAGTACTTCCAGCTCTGAACTTCCTCTGGGGTGGCAATTTGCATCTATAATTCCCTAAAGGTCACTGAATAAAATAATTTAAACTGTTATTATTTATTTATTCAATTATCCAAATAATATATATATTATATAGTATAATATATATAATCTATACTATATATTATATAGTATAATATATTATATAGTATATTATAATATATATTATATATTATATAATATATAATATAATATAATAAGTGATTTCTATGTGCCAGGCACTGTTCTGGGCATTGTATTCATGATACTTACTTTATGTGTGGGAGACAGACAATAAACAAAATGAATAAGGAAAGGGATAGGATGTTAGATAATGTTAAGTGTTAAAGGGAAAAACAAATGAGAGAGAGGGATATGAAGTGCCAAGGTGGGGAATTGAAATTGTACGCAGGGTGGTCGGGAAAGACCCCACCAAGAAGGTAGCTTTTGGGTAAAATCATGAGAGAAGTAAAAGAGCAAGCATGCCTGTGTCAGGGAGAAAAGTATTCCAGAGAGAGAGAACAGTATGTGCAAATGCCCTGAGACATAACATGCTATTGAGGAACAGCTAGGAAACCGGCATGACTGGCATGGCGTGAGCAAGACAGCGGGAGTTGTAGGAATGAATTCAGAGAGGGAAGAAGAGAGGTAGATCGCATGGGTCTTTTAAGTCATTGTAAGGTTTTGGCTTTTCCTTGAGTGAGGGGGGCATAGCTGGGGGGTTTTAATGGGGAGTGACAGGATGACTTCTGCTGCTGAGGGAGGCTGTGTGAGGACAAGGGCAGAGGCAGGATCTGCTTAGGAGGCAATTACAGTTGTCCAGAAGAGAGGTGATGGGGGCTTGGAGATGATAAGAGGTGATCCACACCCCATATAGGGCTACATAAAGGCAGCACTGACTAGACTTACTCATGGTATAGACATGGAATGTGAGGAAAAGAGAGAAGCTCGACTTTAGCTTGACCAGTGGAAGGATGGAGTTGCCATTCAGTGAAATGGGACAATGCAGAGAGGAACAGAATTGGGAGCGGACTATCTAGGGCTCAGCTTTGGACATGTTAGGTGTAAACTGTCCTTTAGACGTCACAGCAGGAAGGTAGAGTAGGAAGTTGAGTATAAGGAGCACTCCTTAGCACCGTTCTCCAACGTTTTTCTCTAAAGAATTTTTCAGCATATTGCATATTATATAGTTTACTTGTTTGTGTGTTGTCTGTCTCACCCCTCCTCCTGAGCCCAGTGGAGTGTAAAGAAATCATTTTTTTTTTCTGTTTTGTTCATTACTTTGTATCCTAAGCTTCCAGAATAGTCCTGACACATGATCAATGCTCAAAACATAAATGTTTCACACTTGAATGGTATCAAATCTGTTGATCTTTTACTTTTTGACTCCTAATTCGGTGTGGTCCTTAGAAACAGTGTTTCCTATCGTTACATTATAAATATATTGACTTACATTCTCTTCTAGTACTCTCATAATATTCTTTCTTAAATTTAAATTTTAATCCATCTGTAATTTATTTTGGTGAAAGGAATAAAGTTAGGAGGCCAGCTTTATAATTTTTTAAATGGCTAGCCATTTATCCAAGCTCCATTTATTAGACAATCTGACATCTTCTTATTGAAAATCTGGTGAGATTTAGTTCTTATTCTGATATAAATATGAGCTAGTAATAAAAACCATTTTTATGCCTACTTTGCCATGATACTTATGCCCCAAAGCAAAGGCATATATGTACCATATAAAGTGGTTAACTATAGATCATTAACTAAATTACCCACTAACACAGTGAATAACAGTCGCGAATAACAGTTAGTGTCCTTTTACTTTTCTGTAACCAACAATTATTTCCTTCTGATTAGAAAATTGGGAGAAAGAAAAGGGATAGGCAGGAAAAGAAGGAGTCACAAAATTTCCTACGGTCTACAGAGGGACAAGCTTAGGTGATTAATATCACTTCTGTTTATGTTGAACGAGATTTTTTTAAAAAGCAAGTAAGACGCTAGGAACAAAAAAAAAAGATACTTCTTTACCTCCATCTTCCATCTCTGTAGGATATTTTCATTTTAATTGAAAATGACAGATGGAAACAATGGTGTAAATAATCCATCAGAAAAGAAATCATGGAGTAGTCAAAGAAATTTTGCTAGAAAATCAATAACCAATATTTACAGAATTCAGAGGGTTATAATAATCCTGGGAGAGATTCAGGATCCAAACTTTGGGTTGACTTATGAAACCAGATGCTCCATTAGAGACTGAATTTATTTTGCCGTGTGGGTTGATTTCTTTTTCTTTGCTCCAAAGAGAAAGATACCTGAACATCACCTGGGGCATCCTAAGGAAGGTGAGTCCCTGAGCCTGGATCCCTTTGGGAGTGGATGGGTCCCATGAAAAATCTTGTTTGGGGCTGGGTGCGGTGGCTCATGCCTGTAATCCCAGCACTTTGGGAGGCCGAGGCGAGTGGATCACTTGAGGTCAGGAGTTCAAGACCAGCCTGTCCAACATGATGAAACCCCATCTGTACTAAAAACACAAAAATTAGCCAGCTGTAGTGGTAGGTGCTTGTAGTTGTAGCTACTTGGGAGACTGAGGCAGGAGAATCACTTGAACCCAGGAAGCAGAGGCTGCAGTGAGCCAAGATCATGCCACTGCATGCCAGCCTGGGCAACGGAGTGAGATTCTGTCTCAAAAAAAAAAAAAAAAAATCCTGTTTTGCCTCTCTTGGAAATAAGAACAGGCAATGCCATTGACCCATAAAAGAAGTATAATCAAGCATTTTGAGTTCTAAGATTTGTAAAAGAAAAAGCTCCTGGGCCCAAAGAGAAAACACACCCCTTTTTCTGCAGGAAAGGGATCAGTTTGTTCAGGAACAAGAGGTGCCAAACCCTGGGATAACTGGTACCCTGGGAAAGGCCTGAATGTGGCACTGAGAGAGTTGAACTCAACAGCTGCCAGCAGAGGAGGCCACACCTTGCACACTGGGAAAGTCCAGCACCCCTGAGAAGGCAGCGGTAGACAAATGAGCGAACAGTGCATGATCCTTGCAGTATAGAGTGGATCAGCGTCACCTGCTGAACTGTTTACAGCCAGATTTCAAAATCCACACCATGGGCTAATGAGAAATAACAGCAAGAGGAGATTAATAAATCACCAGTGCTTCCTTCGTAGGGGTGGAAATCAGACTGAGGACTACATAAGCCTCAGGCAACTTTGAGTAATTCAACAGGGGAAAGCTCAGAAAGATATTCTAGATTTCCCACTAATATAGCAAGCTGGTCACATAGCAATTAACTGGAAAAAAAGAGATGTAATCATATCTGGACTCCAAGGTTACTATCTCAGTCATGCCTGTTACTTTTTGGGGGAAAAAAAAGCCTTTTTAATCAGGGTTAGGAATACGATTTTCATTTGTTAAGTATTGAATTTGTAACAGTGATGAGGGGTAAAAGAGCAAAATTTTATCTGCCTTTGTTTCTTTAAATTTTGTTCAGGAAGTGTATAATCTCCAGTGGGGGCAGGGGAGATGTATAATGCCTTATTTCCTTCGTTTAAATAAATAGACATTATTTTTATGTTTTAGGGCCTAATAAAAAAAATAGTTCAGATTAGGATTGCAGGTTAAAATTAGCCTTGGCCAAATAGCACGTATCTGAGAGCAGCGGATTCTAATTTTAATCACAGGGAATAGCCAAAGAAGCTGGAAATAAAAATTCAACAATAAATATGTATTTCCAGAGAGTTTAAAATATTTACAAAAATTCCTAATTACACCTCACCATTTTGATGTAATTTCTGAGGATATATTTTTAGGACTTTGCATTTCTTTCTATTCTTTCTCTTCACAATTAAATCCATAGATATCCACCTTGCATTCCAATGAAGTTAAATCTACCCCCACTTGGTTTCCATCTTTGTCTCACGTGTGTTATTTGTGAAATTTATCACTAGTATTAATCCTTCTCTCTCTTTTTTTTTTTTTTTTGCTTCATTTGGCATTCGCTTTTCTAAAATATTAAGGGGTAAACATTAAATTAAATATTCAAATAGGTGCACAAATACTGCAGGAGAGAAAAACCTAACAATTCTGTTGAAACTGAGCTGTTACCTGACAGGTGACACACAGCACAACATAGCTCACAATTTTTTTTGGTTCAACGATATAAGCAAATCCAATGTGCAATTTGTAAGGCAGGCCTAAAGTGTCAGTGCATAATTTCTGGAAGAATATGTTATAGTACAACAGTCAAATGTGTGAAAGACAACAAAATATACAAAGACAAATAAATGACCTCTGGAAGGTTAAAATTCTAAGTCAAAGCCTCCAAGGATTTGGACACATGCTGAGCAGAGAGAAGACTCTTCATTTCTCTTGACTGTTTTGTAAGGCAGTAAATAGCTCAAGCTCCAGACTGAGCAGTGAGGAGCTAATCAGCTCTTTTCCTCCCAATCACCCAAACCCCTCTGCCTCTCTCCCACCCCAAAGCTAAGCCCAGCAGGCAAACCAAGAAAACAGGAGGCTGTGATTATCCAAAGTATGCCTGTAGTAAGTCCAACCTGAGCCCGCCATTAAAGCTGTTCATCTCTTAGAAAGAATTGGAAACTGGGAACATTTTCTCTGGTTTCACTAGCAGAAAAAATGCAATCGGTAATGAAGCAGAAGCACCATGTCAACTGCTTAAAGTTCACTCACATTTAACATTTCACACACCATTTACATTCCAGTTCTCTCTCCACCAAGTGGAAAAGGCAATGGTGCCCTTTGGGGCTTAGCAGGATGGTTGGATCTCCTTGAAGTGCTTCCCTCTCTGTCACTCTTCCTTTTCTTCATTTCTCACTCAGTGGTGAGAGATCTTGATGCCAACTGGAACCACCTGTACCTCAGTGACCCACCTGAGCACCAAAAAATCACACAGGTTCTTCTGCCATGAGTGAAAGAGCAATGAGCTTACAGAGCTAAGTCCCACTTAGCTTTTCAAATATCTTTATGTACTCTGAAGAGCCTATATTTGAGTTCTGAAGCCAGGATTTCTTGTCTTGATCCATGAAATCTAACCTGCTGCACTAGATTTACCTAAAAGGTATTCCAAAAAGATTTTACGAATAATAGCAACATTTATAAAAGAAGAAATGCAAGTAGCCAACAAGCCAACAAACACATGAAAAAACGCTCAACATCACTAATCATGAGAGAAATGCAAATTAAAACCATCCTAAGATATCACCTTACACTAATCAGAATTGACATATATATATATACATATATATATACATATATATATACATATATATATACATATATATATATACATATATATATATGTATATATATATATGTATATATATATGTATATATATATATATATATATTCGAGATGGAGTCTCGCTCTATCACCCGGTGTGGAGTGCAGTGGTGCGATCTCAGCTCACCGCAACCTCCACCTCCCAGGTTCAAGCAATTCTCCTCCCTCAGCCTCCTGAGTAGCTGGTTTTACAGGTGCCCCCCACCATAACCAGCTATTTTTTTTTTTTTTTTTAGTAGAAAAGGGGTTTCACCATGTTGGCCAGGGTGCTCTTGAACTCCTGACCTCAAGTGATCCACCTGCCTTGGCCTCCCAAAGTGCTGAGACTACAGCAGAATGGCTATTATTAAAAAGCCACACAACAACGATGTTGGCTTGGATGTGGAGAAAAGGGAACGCTTATATGCTGCTGGTGGAAATGTAAATTAGTTCAACCTCTATGGAAAACATACAGTATGAGAATATCTCAAAGAATTAAAAATAGAACTACTATTCAACCCAGCAATCTCCCTACTCGGCATCTACCCAAAGGAAAAGAAAGCCTATAAAAAAGACACCTGCACTCAGATGTTTATCACAGCACTATTCACAATAGCAAAGTCATGGAACTAATTAAGTGTCCACCAGTGGTGGGTCAGATAAAGAAAAGGTGGTACATGGCCAGGCGCAGTGGCTCACACCTGTAATCCCAGCATTTTGGGAGGCCGAGGCAGGCAGATCACAAGGTCAGGAGATTGAGACCATCCTGGCTAACACGGTGAAACCCCGTCTCTACTAAAAATACGAAAACAACAACAACAAAAAACTAGCCAGGCATGGTGGCAGGCTCCTGTAGTCCCAGCTACTCGGGAGGCTGAGGCAGGAGAATGGCGTGAACCCAGGAGGTGGAGCTTGCAGTGAGCCGAGATCGTGCCACTGCACTCCAGCCTGGGTGACAGAGCGAGACTCTATCTCGAAAAAAAAAAAAAAGAAAAGGTGGTACTTACACACCATGGAATACCATGCAGCCATAAAAAAACAATGAAGCATGTCCTTTGCAGCAACATGGGTGGAACTGGAGACTATTATCCTAAGTGAGCTCAGAAGCAGAAGATCAAATATCATATATTCTCACTTATAAGTGGGAGCTAAACAATGGGCAGACATGGACATGAAGAAGGAGATAACAGATACTGGGAATCCAAAAGCAGGAGAGTGGAAGGGGAGGGAGAGTTGAAAAGTTACCCATTGGGTACAATGTTCAATATTTGGGTGATGGGTACACCAGAAGCCCAGTCCTCACCATTACACATGTAATATTCATGTAACAAACAAGCATGTGTAACCCCAGATCTAAAACTTCAAAAAAAACCTAAATATTATTGAGCAACTTCTCTGTTTCAAGTTGAATCCCAAAATTCATATGTTCAAGTCCCAACTCCCAGTACCTCAGAAAGGAACCATATTTGGAGCCAGGACCTTTAAAGAGGTGAGTAAGTTAAAATGAGGCTGTTAGGATGGGTCCTAATCCAACCTGGCCAGTGCCCTTGTGAGAAGAGGAAAGTTGGACACACAAAAAGACCCCAGGCATGTGCAGATGCGCAGAGGAAAGACTGAAGAGGCAGCAAAAGCATGACTACCTGCAAGCTAAGAAGAAAGGCCTCAGGAGAAACCAACCCTACCGACACCTTGATCTTGGATTTCCAGCCTCCAAACTGTGAGAAATACATTTCCATTGTTTAAACCACCCCGTCTAATGACAGGCACTGTTCTGAAGAAGTTACATAGATTAACTCAATTCATTCTAACAACAGCCTCTGTGTGTGTGTAAATGGAACAAGAGGGGCATCAACATCCTTCTGCAGACAGGGAAACTAAAGTCCAGAGCAGTTAGAAAATACAAGTTAAAGAAAAATTACATGCTAAATAAATGATTGAGCTAGAATTTAAATGCCCGTTCTCTGTCTGCCTCCAGAGGCCATGCTGAACCACTACATGCTCCTGTTTCTGTATATTGCTGGCATCCTTCACTATGAATTGCTACATCACTCCGTTTCTTGCAATCTTTAAAGAACAAAGAAAAAAAAATTTTTTTACTCACTTAAAAACATGGAATATGGTATCTACAAATAAATAAGCAAGAAAGCCAATGCTTCTGTTTCCTCATTTTCTTTTTAAATTCTCTGAAGATGAGTTCATTAGTTAAGATTATTTATCTTGTAAGAGAAACCCCCAACTCAAACTGGTCTAAATTAATTTTTTTAAGTGGCTACTTCTAAATTAAATTAAATTTTTTAATAAGTGGCCACTATAAATCCTCTAGCAGGTAAGATGGCTGCTACATTTCCAGCCTTCACATCTTCACATCATGTGACTCAGGGGTGAGACCTGGTCTTTGGGCCTCATTTCTCAGAACCCTCAGCAAAAGTGCCTTTCCATTATTTGGCTTTCAGTTTCACATTCATGGCTGAGACACCATGGCCAAGGGTCTGGAATAGAGTAATTTGTTTAAGACAGTTAGATTCCCATCCAAATCACAGAGCTGAGGGTCTCAGGATGGAGATGGAAGGAACTTCCCAAAGCCTTGTTGGAGGTTGCCAGAGGCTGGTGGGAGGAGGCATAGGGAGGGAGTTACCATTTAATGGGTACTGTTAAAGTGAACTAAATATGGCCTGAGAAGGACTGTGTACTTCTATATTTGAGTCCTTGTGGACAAACCTAACCTAGCTTAATAGGAAGACAAGATTGAAAACCTAACTTAGGAGTATGCAGCCTGTAACAATAGCTGAGTGTTGGCCAATTCCAGCAGCCATGCTTCAGCCACTCATAGACTGCTGAGTGTTCAAACTGTGTTCAAATAAGGCAAATGCCAACCTGTAACCAATCCAGCTATCTCTGTACCTCACTTCCAATCCTTGTACATCGCTTTCCTTTTTTTGTCTATATTTTTTTCTGACCACGAGGCACCCCTGGAGTCTTTCTGAATCTGCTGTGATTCTGGGGGCTGCCCGATTCACGAACGGTTAATTCTTCTTTTCGCTCAATTAAATTCCATCAAATTTAATTTGTCTGAAGTTTTCTTTTAACAGTACAGAGTTCTATTTGGGATGATGAAAAAGCTCTGGAAACATGGTGGTAACGGTTGTAGAATATTGTAAACGTGCTGAATGCCACTCAATTGTACACTTTAAAAAGGTTCAGATGGCAAATTTTATGTTATGTTTCTCTTACACGAAAAAAAGAAAAAAAGAAATGAAAAGGAAAAGGAAAAAGAAAAAACTCTCTCCTAACATGTTTCACTTCCACGTCGGCTGAGGCCTGTTCATATTTTATTCCCAAAGTGCCCCTTTATCATTGAAAATATCCCTTGAGAGCCCTCCCTGACCACAGACTCAGTGCTCGCTTCTACAGAGAAAATTACAATTACGCCAGAGTGTGTTGAAACTAACTTGTCACTGGGCTCAGGAAAGACCATGTTATTCATGGGAGCCAAGAACCCTTATCTTAGACTTCCAGAGATTTCTTACAGGGAGGTCAAGTCACTTATTGGTGGTTCAAGTAGAAAAAAATATAGTGGGCTTTTTGAGATTAATATTTCCTGGTGGCATTTTTAGTGTTCATTGGAAAGGAACAAGTTCTAGTCGGGTAAGCTGACAGACATAAAAAGGGAAGGAGCTGCCGCACCTAGAGGAGGATTTGTTTTCTCCTGGGACTGTGTATAGATAAGCACACACCCAGAAGCCTGGGCAAACCCAGAGAGCAGCAGGGGGATTACCTGCTGACAAGTACAGCAAGGGTGAGCAGATTGCCCTGTGATAAAAGCCGCTCAATTGCATCATCTCTCCAGCAAGGGGAAACCAGCTCTAAGGCAGCCATCTAGTTGCAAGGTGAGTTCACTGTAATTGCATGTTGTGAGTAGCGGTTGCTTAAAAACAATGAATTTATACCCATTACTCCCAGCGTCAACTTCAGAATGATTTTCATCACGCCTGCTTTTGTGCAGCTAAGCTGCAAAATGTGCGCTGCGACAGACTGAAGCAGATAAAGAACAAATTTGCATGTTACTGGGTTGCAAGAGCCCTTTGATTGTTGGAGAGGCCCGATAATGCTGTCAAGAGCTCGGTGGACTGAGCGGCGGCCGAGACGCACCAGATCTGCACTAAGTGTAGCTGACAGCAAACGATTTAGAGTCAGCACGGAATCAAAGCGTTGGAAATATCTCAAGTAAAAATGTTAAAAACACAAAGAAGCCTGCATCTTGATAAGAGGACATCAGTGAGGAGAGATATGCACAGAAAGAAAGAAAATGACCTTGAGTTTATAAAAATGCTACACGTCTCGGAATTGTAAAATGCCTAAAATGAAAAGAAAATGGGCAGCTCAAATCAGACTTCAAGCTAGGAAAGCCTGAAAGTTGTGTGCTTGCCACAGTTGAAGAAGAGAAAAAGAAGCAATAGCTAACTGCACGGATTATTATAGAGATTACGCTTCTGTTTTCGAGACCAGTCATTTGCTCGTACAAATGAGCCTAATGACTTAAAGCACCAAGACATACATGTCTCTGCTGTGCACACCTCCTTGACATGAAATGCAAGACTCAAAATACAAAAATAATTTTAGGAAGGAAAAACTGATTAGTGGCAATGATCAAGACAAATCTTGCTATTTGAAAAAACAAATAAAAATACTGGAAATGAAACCTTAAGTAGTATTATTAAATAATAATATCAGGGTGGGGCACGGTGGCTCACGCCTATATTTCCAGCACTTCGGGAGGTCCAGGCAAGTGGATCACCTGAGGTCGAGAGCTGGAGACCAGCCTGGCCAACATGGCAAAACCCCATCTCTACTTAAAGTACAAAAATTAGCATGGCATGGTGGTGTGCACCTGTAGTCCCAGCTACTCAGGAGGCTGAGGCTGGAGAATCGCTCGAACTCAGGAGGTGGAGCCTGCAGTGAGTCAAGATCTCGCCGCTGCACTCCAGCCTGGGCAACAGAGTGAGACTCCATCTCAAAAAATAATAAT